>NC_000007.14:153397773-153549288 GCF_000001405.40 Homo sapiens | reverse complement strand
AAACTAGCTGGCATTGTCAAAGAAAAACAGAACTCTACCTCTACCGCATTTCTTACATAAAAATAAAGTATTAAAAGATCAAATATCAAAATGTAAAATAAGTGCAGAATACAAAAATCGATGATTTATTTATAAACTTGGTTATTTAATTAAATCTGAACTATGTGATCCAGTTTTTTTCTCATAACAAAAAGTCAGAAAACATTTTCAAGAAGAATTATAAATTTTAACATGAAAAAACTGTAAATGTCTTCACAGAAAACTACAACAAATAAAATTCAAATGCAAAAACCAATCTGTGAGAAAATTTATATTTTACATTTTCTAACATATTGTCTATTGTAATATGTTTTTATATATCAATTACAAAATAAAAGACGAGGCCAGGTGCAGTGGCTCATGTCTGTGATCCCAGCACTTTGGAAGGTCAAGGCAGGAGGATCAGCTGAAGCCAAGAGTTCCAGACCACCCTGGGCAACATAGCTAGACCCTGTCTCTACAAAAATAAAAAATAAAAAATAAATTAGCTGGGCATGGTGGCGTGCACTTGGAGTCCCAGCTATGCAGGAGGCTGAGGCAGGAAGATCAATTGAGTCCAGGAGTTCGAAGTTGCAGTGAGCCACGATCATACCACTGCCCTCCAGCCAGGGTGACAGAGTGAGACCCTGTCTAAATAAATAGAAGATGAAGTTGCAAAGCGCAAAGTGGGTAAAGGGCCAATTTATCATAGAATTACCAATGATTAATAGACACATTTCATTTAGTATTGTCAAGGCTGAAAATTACAGTTACAAAACTCTGTCTATCAGGTTGGCAAACATTTTAAGAACTAACAAAATTTAGAACTGGCGAAGATGTAGGGATGAACACACACCTACACCGGTTTGGGGGGCATTACAAATAATCTTTCTAAGTTATTCAATGGCTAAGAACATTTTATAGCCATACAGTGGTTCATACAAACACATATACCACCCACCTCCCGCACACACACACCTGCATACATATTTCAAACCTCTCAAAGGCAAGCATTAATTATCAGAGATCCATAAAGAGGAAAAAGAAATATCTAAGTGCCTCGCAATTTGCCTAGAGCCCATCGCTCAAAGCCATGTGGCTATTTCACATCTTGCAAAAAGAGTTGGCTTTTTTCCTTCATCCCCTTTTTACAGGTTGTGACCTAAGATCTAGAAGGAATAAGCAAGTAGCCCATTGGTGTTGCACTAATGTGTCCCCTCTCCCCTTAACTACACAAAATTCCAGCCTGAGTTTTGAAATGACCATTTGTAAAGACTCAGTGAATTTTTGACCTTTATTGCATTTCATGTAAGCCAATGGGATGTTCTATTTTTCCCAGTGACCTCTCACTTATACCTTTACATAGATGTTAACAAAGGCACTTAGGCCTAGAGGGATATCTGGGAGGATGCTGACCAAAATGCTAACAAGAGTTTCTTTTTTGTGGTAGAATTTTGGCAATTTTAAATTTATTCTTTATATAATTTCTATTTTATTTTTATTTTATTCGAGATGGAGTCTTGCTTTTTACCTCCTTCTACCCTTGTTCAAATATCCTGAAGCAACAAGTTTAACTCTGAGGGGGACAGAAGAGAGGATGGTGTGACAATGCCTACCTAGCCAAGTCCTCAGGAACTTTGCATATTTCTACTTCCTTCCAAGTTCCTGGAACAACAACCTCCCGGCAGAACGGAGCTGACCACAGACACATGAGGAAGCCTGGCTGAGACCAGGAGAGCTGCTCAGCTGAGCTCAGCCCCCAAATTGCCACCCTATCAGATCAGAGCTAAATAAATTGCTGGTTTTTGAAGTAAGTGTTTTGGTGGATTGCTAGGTGGAAGAGGGTCAGAAAAAAACAAATAATGGGTACTAAGCTAAGCACCTGGGTGACAAAATAATCTGTACAAGAAACCTCCATGACATGAGTTTACCTGTATAAGGCTGTACATGTACCCCTGAACCTAAAATAACAGTTTTTGAAAAATTTTTTAAACTTAAACACAAATAAAGTGCTGTTAGTAAATTTAAAAACTTAAATATTTTTAAAGTAGAATAATAGAATATAGATAAGAAAAAGTAAAAAATAAATAGAAATAAAGGATACAATAAAAATATCAACAAAGCCAAAAGTTATTTCTATTAAAACACGAATAAAACATGGAAATCTGGTGAGACAGAAGGAAGGAGGAAGACAATGGTGAGGAGGGGTAGGCACATGAAAAATAACATTAGGAATGAATAAGGGTCAATGAGTGATTCCTCAGAGATTTTAAAGATATTAAAAGAATACTCTCAACAATGTTAGCTAATAGTTTGAAATTTTAATGTGGAAAATTTCCTCGAAAACATAACTTACCAATGCAAACAGAAGGAGGAAAATTGGAAAGCCTGAATAATACAATAGCTACCAGGGAAATGGAATCAATGGGTAACTATGTTCCCCTAAAAAGTCATATGTGTTTTTATCAGTACCTTCCTCTAACTTTTAAGAAATGTATCTTCCTGACCCTGTTAGTACTCTACAAGAGAACAGAAAAAGTATTTCTACCCCATTCTATGAGACCACTGAAACTCTGGAATCACAGCCAAATAAAGGCAATATGAAAAGAAAAAATGAGGCCGATCTTTTTCTTTTTCATAATCTTAAATGACAAATGCTTCATTTTTTTTTGCAAAATAAAATCCAGTGATGTATTACATATAAAAACCATATAGTTTTTTGCTTTAATTTCAATTAATAAATTTAAGTCCAATTAATACATTAAAGGAAATAAATTATATTAATTTTGGGGAAAAATCCTTTTTGGTCATGATGGATTATTCTAACACTGCCAAGAAGGTAAAATATTTAGCATCCATTCATGATTTCAAAAAGTCTTCTCATAAGGGAAATCAAAGAGAGCAACATCTACCAAAACGTCACATCAGAAATCATAATTAATGATGAAATGTTAGTGGAAAGATCTTGCCATGTTCCTGACCAAAAAAGAAAAAGTATTTCTAGTACTTTTTCTATTAAATATTAAAAGAAGTTTCTAGATAGTGAGATAAGACCAGAAAATAGTTAATGGTAATAAAAAATGATAAGATTTGAAAAGGAATAAAACTGACATAACTGTAATTGTCTTTTTTTAAAACCACAAAGAATCTACAGACAAACTTTATAGATAATCAAAAAGTTAGCAAGTTAGCTTCTAAGAGATCAATATAAAATTATTTACATGCATAATTTTTTTTTCAAACTGGATGCTGCTTAAGTGGGTGTGTTCACTTTGTGAAAATTCACCGAATTATACACTTATAAATTGTTGTCTTTTTTGTATTTAGGTTTATAGTTCAATAAAGGTTTACTTAATTAATTAACTCTCCCCAGACATCATGATTAATGGTGGAAGTTGGCCAATGATTAGAGAAAGATCCCTGCCAATAACACTTCCATTATAATTTTCTTGGAGGACCTACTAGTAAGTATTAAAAGAATCCAAAATGCTCCTATAATGTAGCAAAGAGAATCAACAAACTTCTAGAGCTTATAACAACAGAGTTTAGCAAGTTTACTAGATAAAAGTGGCAGATTTAAAAACAACAACTTACCTACACTGCAACGTGGCAGGAATGGCAATTTGTGTGGTAGCACCGCAGTGCTCTAGCCAGCAGCTGCCCAGCCAGGAACTGTGCATTGTAATATGGGTCCCATTATAGGCAATGAAATGTGAGCAGAAACATGTATTTAGTTTTGTGACCAACATGATGAAGAAGGAGGACTGCCTTCTCCACTCTTTCCTTTCTTTGGCGATCTTAGAAGCCACCTGTTGAAGGTAAAAGAGCCACTGACGTAAGCCACCCGTATATTTGGCCGCACGGACAAACTCTGTCTATGGATTGTTGTGGGAATTGCCAGTATCTTGGAGATGGGGGTGTGTGCAGGAAGTTGGTTGGGAAGTGCTCACAGGAACACCTGTGCAGGAAGCAGGACAGAGCAGAACTTAATTGTAGCTGTTGCAGAGTCCTCAGCTGATCCCAAGGGGATGACTGGAGCTGGAGTGAGCCTCCAGAGCTTTCCTAAATGGAGACAAGAATGGGGTCAGGCCTTTGTTCCTTCATGTCACCAGTCATTGGGTTTGGGTTACCTCCAGCCAGTGGTTAACCTTCTCTGTCCAAGGGCAACTCCTGGGGAAGAGTTGGCTGTGAAAGGTCACCAGGTGATATGAGTTGGCTCTGTGTCCCCACCCAAATCTCATCTTGAATTGCACTCCCATAATTTTACTCCCAGGTCCCCACGAGTTGTGGGATGGACCTTGTGGGAAACAGTAGAGTCATGGGGCGGTTTCCCCCATACTGTTCTCGTGGTAGTGAATAAGTCTCAAATAATCTGTACAACTAACCCCCATGACAAGAGTTCACCTATATAACAAACCTGCACATGGACCCCTGTACCTAAAATAAAAGTTTCTTTTTTAATTTTAAAAAGTAAAAAATAAAAAATGCTATTATTTAATTTAAAAACTTAGGTTTTTAAAGTTCTGATGGTTTCATCAGGGGTTTCCACTTTTGCATCTTCCTCATTCTCTCTTTGCCTGTTGCCATCCATGTAAGATGGGACTTGCCTTCTGCCAGGATTGTGAGGCTCCCCCAGCCACATGGAACTGTAAGTCCAATTAAACCTCTTTCTTTTGTAAATTGCCCAGTTGAGGGCATGTCTTTATCAGCAGCGTGAAAATGGACTAAGACACCAGGCAACAGCCCAGGCATCTCACAGACAGAGTGCCTTGTTTTGAAAGGGTGGGTTGTATGGGGATCTGGGAAGCTCACCATAGGTTAATCATAGCCAGTAATTAAAGTGTTTTCTTCCTGCTTTGAAGCACCCTTGTACACGTCCCTACTTTGTGCTGGAGCTGAAATTCTGGAAACCACATTTTCTCTTTGCCAATTGATTTCTTGTCAGGCTCTACCAACAAGGGTCACTAGAGACAGATTGGGGGACTGGAGGAGGAAGAAAGTCATCGTCTTGCCTGTCTACTTCCTGTTGGTTTCCTCTCCCTGTCAGGAACACTGCACCATGCTCTTTCTCCCTGCCGACAGTTGAGTTCTGTTGTTCCGACATCACCCTCATGGCACCCCTGAGGACACCAGCAGGACAGGACCCCTACTCAGAGATCTGGGTCTCAGCCCATGGAGCACCTCCTCTGAGCCCAGAGCCCCCAACTACAACCAAGCCGTGTCCCTTTCCAGAATTCTTGCTCTCCTGCTGTAACAAATATTTGTATACTGCAATAAGCTTCTCACAGTCTTATTGCTAATTTTCTATATAATTAATGTTCATCTACTAAAATTACTTTTATTTTTTTCAAGACAGGGTCTCACTCTGTCACCCAGACTGGAGTGCAGTGGTGCAATATCGGCTCACTGCAACCTCTGCCTCCTGGGTTCAAGGGATTCTTTTGCCTCAGCCTCCTGAGTAGCTGGGACTAAAGGTGTGCACCACCATGCCTGGTTAATTTTTGTATTTTTTTTTTAGTAGAGACAGGGTTTCACCATGTTGGACAGGATGGTCTCGATCTCCTGACCTCATGATCTGCCCACCTCGGCCTCCCAAAGTGCTGGCGTTACAGGCATGAGCCACTGTGCCTGGCCTAAAATTACTTTTTATAAAACCACTTTGCAAAATGTGCAGTACACTGTGTTAATAACTTAATCTATACTTAAGGCCCCCAGTTGTCATGTTGTTTAGGTTCTGAAATGGTTCCTTGTTGGGAGTTATTAGGTAACTTAGTGCCCTCTTCCTTTGCCTGGATTAGAATGTAACAGGCACGTGAAGCTGAAGTGGATGGTGTGCGCATGCTCTGAGATGTAATGGAGATAGTTACAAGGGTAACTTATAGTTCTTACGATAATAATAACATGAGCTTAGAATTTTTTAAATGTCGGGTCCTCATTAAAAAGTAGATTATATTTTAATAACTGCAGGCAATTACAGTTTGGCTCACATGTCAATTCAAATCTAAAGAGGCAATTTAAATATCTATAGAAAATGCACGTGGAAAACCTATGTTCTTTTGGTGGCATGGATCTTTTATGCAATCTATCTAGATAATAGACAATAAATATCTATTAAGGGCCGCCTACGTACCAGAATGATATTTTAATAAAAGTTTTCAGAGAATTATTCTCCCAACCATTTTTTTCTAACCACTTCATTGAGATATAATGAAGTACAAAGAGCTGTACATGTTTAATGTGTACATCTCAATGAGTTTGGGGTTAAGTATACACCTGTGAAACTGTCACCACCATCAAGGCCATAATCATTTACCTCTCAAAGTTTTCTCCTTCTCCCTTTATTTTTATTATTGAGGTTTTCGTGGTAAGAACGAAACATAAGATCTACCCTCTTAGCAAATTTTAGGTACACAATACGGTATTGTTAGCTATAGGCACATGATGTACAGTAGATCTCCAGAGCTTATTGATGTTGCATAACTAAAACTTCGCATGTTTTAACCATCATCTCCCTGTTTCCCCTTCTCCCCAGGTCCTGGTAACCACTATTCTACTCTTCGCTTCTGTAAGTTTGACAATATTAGATTCCACATATAAGTGAAATCATACAGCATTTGCTTTCTGTTCAATCTTTTCTTAAACATACGACCTCTTGTGATAAATATAAAATTTCCACTTCCATCTCCTCTCCAGGATCTTATTACAGTCTCTGTCTCTTGAGAATAGCTAATCTAAAGCCACGTACTGGCCGGGCACAGTGGCTCATGCCTGTAATCCCAGCACTTTGGGAGGCTAAGGCAGGCAAATCACTTAAGGTCAGCCTGTGTTTGACCTCAACAGGCTGGAGTTTGAGACCAGCCTGACCAACATGGTGAAACCCCGTCTCTACAAAAAATACAAAAATTAGCAAGGCATGCTGGCTTGCATCTGTAATCCCAGTTAATCAGGAGGCTGAGGCAGGAGAATCGCTTGAACCTGGGGGGAAAGGGGTTGCAGTGAGCCAAGATCGAGCTACTGCACTCCAACCTGGGCGACAAAGTGAGACTCCATCTCAAAAAAATAAATAAAAAGTCATGTACACTTGGTAATTTAAAAACAATGGTTGTGTGGTTCACTGAATAAAAGAGTCACTTAGCTATCTTCACAATTTAAGCTTACAAATAAATCCCAGTGGATTCTATTCAAACATTAAAAGCTGATGAAATCATAATATTATTATGTAATATCTGGCACTGGGGACTTAGCATCTGATGGGCAAATGCTTTACATCAACTCTATTATTTAATCCTAACAGCAGCCCTGCAAGATCATTATTATTATTCCCATATTCACAGATAAGAAAATTGAGACTAACAGGATAGTAATTTGTTCAAAATCAAATAATGAGGCTGGTCATTTGCCTTCTATGTCCAGGCAGGGGTGGTGATGGCAGAGTTCCCCACACATAATAATGGGAACAGCACAAATGGACACTCAAAGCCAGAATGTCCAAGAAAATAGTTCCTACTAGTTGATCCCTGCATTTCCACCGCATAACTTCTGCTTCCTACACCACCCCAGTTACTACGGGAAGTGGACACTCTCTTCTACACATAACCTAATTGGATAGTTCACATCACATTTATGACTATGTAAGCCCCAAACCAGCCCTGTTTTCCCCTTGAGTTGCCTCAGCAAAAAAGTGAAATGGCCACTGGAATTTGGAAATAAGAGAAAAAGCCAACCTATTTGAATATTAAAGTCCACACAATAACAGATCAGAATTAGGATATGCTACACAGTCTTCAAGGTACAAATGAGTCTTGGGCTGGCAAGACAATAGAATAATCTATATTAATTAAATATAAATAAATAATCAGTGAATTAGAATGAGAAAATCATTTTAGGTAAAGGTTAGGCCCAGGCATGGTGGCTGACGCCTGTAATCCCAGCACTTTGAGAGGCTGAGGTGGATGGATCACCTGAGGTCAGGGGTTCTAGACCAGCCTGACCAACATGGTGAAACCCCATATCTACTAAAAATAGAAAAGTAGCCAGGCGTGGTGACACACACCTGTAATCCCAGCTACTTGGAAGGCTGAGGCAGGAGAATCACTTGAACCCAGGAGGTGGAGGTTGCAGTGAGCCAAGATCGTGCCATTGCACTGTAGCCTGGGCAATAAGAACTAAACTCTGTCTCAAACAAACAAACAAATAAAAAAGGTTATGTTCCTCATGAAGGCACCAAGCAGATGAGAGGAGATTCATACAGCAGATTATATATTTTGTATACATATGTGTATCTGTAACTGTATGCATAGCTGCATATTGATTATACAATTATGTTGTCATTGATTATCCAACTACCAAGGTTTGCCTACGTGATAAAGATGTCTGAAGTTACTTTAGTTGAAGAACATATTTTAATAAATAATTTTTATTAAAGTAATACTTGAACAAATATTAAAAAACATGTAACACAAGTATTAAAAGTACTACAACAGTCCCTTTCCAGGAGATAACCATTTCTACCTCTTTGCAGCTTTAATTCTTCTGATTGTCATTTCCGCATTGTTAAATAATATGTTGTCACCCTATTTCTTGAATTCTTTTATTCTTTTATTGAATTCTATCTGTAAGAGCAAAGGATTCGGCGCTCTTATCATGATTTCCACCTTCTGTTCATTGCAAGTTGTTACAATTGCTTCACTCTCTTCTAGTTCCTCGAATTGGTCCCATTTAAAACTTAAGTATATTATTTTAAGTCTTTGTCAGACTTCACAAGTATCTTTTGAACCCACACTTTTAGAGAGTGTATTTGTACCTCTCTATTCTCAAATTCTGTGTACTCTATATTTTATCATCAATATTAATAATATTTACACTCTTTTTAGTATCCATAATGAAGCCTTCTAGGCTTTGTTTATATCTTGAAAATTTGAAAAACTAAAAATGTAATCACTTCCTTTCTAGAATTCCAATGTCACGATTCTTAGGACTTAAGACCATTATCTGTAGGCTCGTGGTGAAATGCAGTCTTCATTTTTCTATTTCCAGAGTCAATGGAAGGGTCCTACATTGTGCTTTAGTTTTCTTGATATCTAGACTATAATTTCCTTATACAGTTTTTTTCCTAGAGTTTCAAATGGACTTCATTTGGGGAGGGAGGGGAGCTGAAACTTACGTCGTTTTCATGATATTCCTTATTCTTGTTCTGTACACTGCCTGCATCCCACTCCACTCTCCTGAGATAGGCACTGCCTTTGAAGCTCACTGACTTCCTGCTCTAATTTGGACACATGGTTTGCATACCCTGCGACAAAACGGTCATCCGAGGATGGCTCTTCAGTAAACTCAGGTTAGTTTCTCTGTTTCTGATACCCACATCTTCCCTTTCCTTCACTTTCAGGGGTATTTTGCTAGAGTATGAATTGAAAAGACTTCATCAAGAAGGCTTTAGAAGGTACAATTTTTTTCTCTTTTGGCTGAAAGTGACTTGATTTTGTTCTTAGGCATGATTGAGAGTCTGGTACCGATTCTAAGATCAGAATAATTTTCCTAAAAGGTTCTGAGGGCGCTTCACTGTTTTCTTGCTGACAGGATGTCTGACACCAGCTAAAGCCTCAGTTCTTTGTAGGTTACCTGTTTTATGAGTTCTCTCAAAGCTTTTTATGATATTCTCCTTCACCTGCCATTGTAACATTTCCTAAATGCATATCCAGCTATGGTTATCTTTGCATTCATCCCTCCTGATGCTTGAAGGCTTCTTTCGCTTTGAAGACTCAATTATCACTTGGGGCCGGATAATTTTCTGTAGTATTTATTCGATTATTAGCTGTTTGTATTCCTGTTGGTCTCTCTTTCTGAAAGTTGTGTTAATTAAATGTTAGACCTTCTGGATTAAAATTCTGGCCCCCTTGTCTTTTTCACGTTTTCCCACTCTCTATTTTTGTGCTCTAAATTCTAGACGATTTCCTCAGCCTTCCCTTTGAACCTTTACACTGAATTGTTAATTAACACTCTCTTCCAAAATCTAATCTGATTTTATCTTCCAGTAGCTAATTCTTGCTTTCTAATTGAGTCTTTTTCACACCGTGTTTTGTTTGGTTTTGTAAACTGGTAAGTTTTTCTACATTTTCTAATGGAAGATGCTAATTTTTTCCTTTATTTCCCTGATTGTCTGTTTCTGCTGGTTGCTCTACTTACCCCCATCTTTCTTTTTCATGCCACAGGATTTCTTCAAATAACTAGTTATTCTCTTTTGCTCTCTTCCTTTGTAGAATGAGGCATATAGACGGTCCAAACCAAGGCATGCCAAGCTTATGAAGAAATTGCTAAGTGCAGAAGCAGCAGGAAGGAGAGGTTAGAGCCGTCGATGACAGTCCTGCGTGTGGCCACACGTTTTATGGGAGGGCCACATCTTAGCCCACTTCTGATGAGAGACCAGCAGCCTGATCTGCGTGAACCTATCAGCACGAAATTCCCGGGAGCCCCCAAGGTTACAGTGACATCAACTCTGAGTTTAAGTGAGTCTAAATGCCATCACCTCGTTTCCTGAATCCCTTCTCTAGCTATGATTTCTTCCTTTCCTGCACGCTTCGAAAGAATCATCTTCTCTCCATGAGGATGAGGATCTTGTTTTACTCACCTTTAGTACCCATCCACCCCCAGAATAGTGCTTTGCATAGAGGGGGTCCTCAGTAAATAGATATTGGGTGAAAAAAATGAATGAATAAACAATAAGGCAGGACCAGGAGGAATTCCATGTTTACTAGTCATTTTTCTGGGATAAATACTTTTTTATTCATTATTGCTTTTCACTTGAGAATCACAGCTCGAATGAACATAAAATTGCATATTTTAATTAAGGAGAATGCAGAGAAATTAATGGTTAGAGACATTACTGTTGATGGAAGATAGCCTCTTCAAAAGAAAGAGAAAAAATTAAAATAATTGCCACAAGCATTCCTGTTTTTTTATTTTTTTATTTTAGTTTTTTGAGATGGTGTCTCGCTCTGTTGCCCAGGCTGGAGTACAGTGGCATGATCTTGGCTCACTGCAACCTCTGCCTCCTGGGTTCAAACGACTCTCCTGCCTCAGCCTCCCACGTAGCTGGGACTACAGTTGCCTGCCACCATGCCTGGCTAATTATTGTATTTTTTGATAAAGACAGGGTTTCACTGTGTTGTCCAGGCTGGTCTTGAACTCCTGAGCTCAAGTATTCTGCCCGCCTCGGCCACCCAAAGTGCTGGGATTACTGGCATAAGCCACAACACCCAGCCATTCCTGTTTATTTATTTAAATCAAAATCTGAACTCTGTTTAGATTCCTCATTCAATGATTAAAGTCAGTAAAGGCAGAAGATAAGGAGGTATCAATGAATGACTACAATTTCACTTTGTTTAAAACAATAGAAAGTCTGAAAACAAAATTTAAATACTGTGACAGTCAACCTATTGAGACTCAGCTATCAAGTGTTCTTTAAGTCTGGAGAATATGAAGAATAAATTCAGAAAAAATAGTGCATTTAAAATATTACACCTTTGTGGTAATCTCGTTTTCAAAGCCCATTCTATTGGATCACTTTGAAATCTGGGGAGTAAATGAGACTGAGAATTCAAAGTGAAGAAAGGAAAGCTTTTGTTGAGCTGTCTGTGTTTAAAGTCCTTGCTGTGTTGGTGGCAGGACAAGACGCTGAGCCCCTGCCTGAGTGCGCTAGAGTTCCGGGGCTGTGTGACTGGGAAGGAAGTGACTGGAAGGAGGTCAGACACTCAGACATCACAGGGATCCCGTACTCACTCCTGGCTGTGCTGCTTCTCTGCTCCCCATATGCTCCCAGTGCCCGTGACTCTCATCAGCAGAGGCAGGCTCCGGCGCAGGCTTCGAGGAGCCCTTTCAAAGCCATTCCTGTCTCTTGTCTGCTTTTTAAACAGTAGGACCTGGGGTGGGGCAGAATCCAACCCTTCCCACACACCCCTAAGATTCTGCTGAGTGGAATCACAAAGTTCCCTAAATCATGCTTGAAAAAGCACAGCAAGGGGATGAGTTTTGCCTCCCAATTCCAAAGAGAAGGGAGCATCTGGCGAGGAGGCCGAGGTGGGTGGATCACTTGAGGTCAGGAGTTCAAGACCAGCCTGGCCAACATGGTGAAACCCCGACTCTACTAAAAATACAAAAATTAGCCGGGTGTGCTGGTGGGTGCCTGTAGTCCCAGCTACTCAGAAGTCTGAGGCAGGAGAATAGATTGAACCGGGAGGTGGAGGTTACAGTGAGCCCACTGCACTCCAGCCTGGGAGACAGAGCAATACTCCAGCTGAAAAAAAAAAAAAAAACAAAAAAGAAGACTGCAGTGAAGATATTCAATTAGCAGGAGTGCTGAAAGCAATGCAAGCCCATAGGCAGCCAAGCTCTGTGGGGAGTTGGACGTCGGGCCATGGATGCAAGAATGGCCCAGAGAGTGACCGAGCTCCCGGCTTCTCCCTGGCCAGCTTCCCCACTCATTCCATCTGTGGATCCCACAGCCAAGACCCCTAATCTGTAGAGAAATGAGTACTTCCACAGCCACTTTATCAGAGGCTGGCTGACTCTGATGAGAGTGTTGGTGGCTGGAATCTCATAGGTGCCCTGAGACCCTGGTTCCTGACCCTAGCCCTGCTGGTCTGAGGCCACCAGATCATCCTTGTTCTTGGAAGCACAGATAATAAAATTTCTATCATAGAAGGTTGTTTTTTTTCTCCCTTGTCTTAAAGCACTGTCTCTAGGAGATTCCCTCAATTGCACACCCTCAGCTATGACAGATGACTTCTCAATTGACAACCATCGTAGGAAGTCTACATTTCTCAGTTGGTTATTTACTCAAAAAAGAGAACTTGGCCAGGTGTGGTGGCTTATGCCTGTAATCCTAGCACTTTGGGAACCCAAGGTGGGCAGATCATTTGAAGTCAGGATTTCGAAACCAGCCTGACCAACATGGTGTACTCTACTACACTACAAAACTACAAAAAAAATTTACTCTACTAAAACTACAAAAAAAATAAATTGCTGTGCTTGGTGGCAGGCGCCTGTAATCCCAGCTACTCGGGTGGCTGAGGCAGGGGAATCACTGGAACCTGGGAGGTGGAGGTTGCAGTGAGCTGAGATCGCACCACTGCTCTCCAGTCTGAGCGACAGAGCAAGACTCTGTCAAAAAAAAAAAAAAAAGAGAGAAACCTTGGAGAAGGAGAAGTGCCTGATCTTAGGAGTCACAGGTGGGTACAGATGGGAGTTATGTGGTTAGAAAGGTATTGTATTGGTCAGGGTTCTCTAGACCAACAGGACTAATAGGATACGTGTATATATGAAAGGGAGTGTATTAAGGAGTATTGACTCACATGATCACAAGGTGAAGTCCCACAACAGGCCTTCTGCAAGCTGAGAAGCAAGGAAGCCAGTATAAGTCCCAAAACCTCAAAGGTAGCGAAGTTGACAGTGCAGCCTTCAGTCTGTGGCCAAAAGCCTGAGAACCCCTGGCAAACCACTGCTGTATGTCCAAGAGTCCAGAAGCTGAAGAGCTTGGAGTCCGATGTTGGAGGGCAGGAAGCATCCAGCACAGGAGAAAGATGAAGGCCAGAAGACTCAGCAAGTCTAGTCCTTCCGTGTTCCTCTGCCTGCTTTTATCCTAGCCACGCTGGCAGCTAATTCGATTGTGCCCCCCATCTCAGATTGAGGGTGGATCTGCCTTTCTGGGTCCACTGACTCAAATGTTAATCTCCTTTGGCAACACCCTCACAGATACACCCAGGAAAAATACTTTGCATCCTTCAATCCAATCAAGTTGACACTCAATAACTCAATATTAACCATCACAGGTATGAAGCACAAAATTAACAGGAAGTAAGCAAGCCTCGGTCAGGAATTGCAAGAGAAACTAGTGAGAGCTGGGGGGACGAGGATGGGAGTATTGAACAAACAGGTCTTAACCTAGAAGTTTTGGGACCACCTTAGGTACCCCAACAATCTCTAAATCACTTCTACATAGCCATTGTGGTCACAGGACATCAGAAAAGGTAATGACTCCAAATGGGACCATTTCTTCCTGCCAGGTAATGGCAGAAATCACTTATGATTGGGAGTCAGTCTGTCTTTCCTTTCTGCAGCAATCTGACCATAGTTAAGTAGGCCACTTAATCTCTGCACGGTACAGTTTTATCAAACCTTTATCTCACATGGTGATTGTGAGAAACAAATAAGATAACATACAGTAAAGCACCTTATATACATACAAGTATAAACATTTACTGTGCAAAACTTCATCTGCAATGGCTTTTTATTGCTTTTGTCATCTGGCACCATCTCTCTGTGGGGGACTACTCTTGTATGGTTCTGCTGGGGCCATCAACAAGTGACCCACCTACTGCCTCCTGATGACAGAGTCAGTGATGATATTTTTTCCCCCTGTCTGCAGGGATTGGCCTACAGGGTGGACATGCACCACACAGAGCCAAACATGATCCTTAAATGAGATTAAGTAAATGAAAGCTAAAAGATGGAGAGTTGGGATGGTTAATTTTATGTGTCAACTATGACTAGGACATGGGGTCCCACATGCTTGGTCAAACATAATTCTGAGTGTGTCTGTGAGAATAATTCTGGGTGATAACAGCATTTGAAGTGATGGATTGAGTAAAGCAGGCAGCCATTCCTGATGTAGGTGGACCTCATCCAATCAGTTGGAGGCCTGAATAGAACCAAAATGCCAGCCTTCTCCAGAGGAACAGGAAGGCCTGCTGCCTGACTGTCTGAGCTGGGACTGTCTGAGCCTTTGGACTTGAACTGAACCTTGGCTCTTGGGTATCTAGCCTGCAGGCTTTCAGATTAGAACTTAGACCATGGGCTCTACTGATTCTATGGCCTTTGGACTCAGACTGGAATGACATCATTGGTTCTCCTGGGTCCTCATCTTTCCAATTGCAGGTCTTGGGTCATCTCAGCCTCCAAAATTTCTGAGCAAATTCCTCATAATAAATATCTTAAGATGTAGAATAGCTCACATATATATATATTTGTGTGTGTATATATATACATAAACAGAACATATATATACACACATGCATGTGTATATATATATAAACAGAACACACACACATATATATATACACACAGAATAGGTAGATAGATATAGATAGATAGATAGATGATAGATAGATAGATAGATAGATAGATAGATAGATAGATAGATAGATGATAGATAGGTTCTATTTCCCCAGGAAACCCTAACTCATACAAGGCTCCCTTTTACAGCAGATGGGAGACACCCAACAGCTCATATTGTCAGGTATAAGCAGAAACATCTCTTCTGAAACCCCCAAAGAGGCAAACTTGTCTTTGCTCACTCTTCTCTGAATCAGCAAAGTGCTCGTCACCAACTCTGTCTCCATGAGGCTCCCATGGCCTTGAGCAAAGTCTGTGGCCCAGACTAGCTGGCTTTTCCTGGGAGAAGCTGGCCTCCCCATCTTCCTCAGCCATTCCAGGTATGTCCTACCCCGGGACCCTTGAGCTGGTGACTCCCTCAGCCTAAGATGCTCTACCAGAGATGTCTGTGTGGCTTTCTCTCCCCTTCCTCAAGTGCTTGCTGAAGTAACAGCTTCTGGTGATATCTTCCGCAATGCCCAGTTCCAAATTGAAACCTCCCCTGATCCCCATGCGGGAGCTTCTGATTACCCATTCCCCACCCTAAGTCACTCTCATGTCATTTATCACCTTCTAATATATTACATTTTATATATGTGCACGTACATATATAACTTATGTATGCACACATATATATGCACATATATATATAACCTATGTATGCACACACATATATGCACACACAAATATGTATACCGCTCTGCATACATTATATGTATAATCCTTTTATGTTTATTGCTTATTGCCTGTGTCTCCTGGTAGAACATAAGACCCCTAGAGGCAGCATATTTTGGCTTGTTTTTTACTGCTCCATCCCAGCCCTAATTCTGTGCCTAATGCAGAGTAAGCATTCAATCAATATTTCTTGGCTGAATGATCAAATGTAGCCTTTAGGTATTTAACCATCTATGTCATTAAATGGCACCTCTTAATGTGTATTTCTCCCTTACGAAGCTGCAACATTCCTGTTTCCCATTTTTTGATTAATAGCTCCGAAGAAATGAATGAAATCTTAACACTGATACTGTTTCTGACTCTCGTGACTGCCAAGGCAACTGATCAGAGGGCTATTGTAAACAGTTACAAATTTAAGCTCCTTACCACCAGTCAATCTTTCTGTTATCCATTCACTAATTCCATCTTCATTCATTTAGTCAGAAAACATTTGCATTCCTACTATGTGCTAGGGCTGCACAAAGCATGATTCTTTTATAGAAATTACATGTAACATGGTGTCAAACTGGTGAAACCCTCAAGCTTTATATTAAAACATTTATTGAAAAAAAGAAATATAAAATTATAGTATTAATTCTCCTCTTGGTTTATTCTTTTGCAACCATCTTTGGGAAATGATACATTTTTAAGTCCTCCGCAGACTCTGGCTCAACCATCTGTGCAGAGCCTGGAGTTCAGGAATATTTTCCCAGCTCAATCTCAGGTTCATTGTCCTATTTAGACAAGTCAACTTATAGGGCTTCCAATTCCCCGGTATCTGTTTCCCATCCACCATTTCCCAGTAAGATGTCTTTAAAAAGTAGATGTACTTGAAGTTCTTTGAAAGAATAGTCGAGGTGGATTTATGGCTGGCTGTCAGGTGCAGATGCTAAGTGTGAATGGAGGAAGGAGGATGCTCAGGTTTCTGGCTTGAGCAGTGGGGGTTGGAGGTTCTGTTTACTAAGATGGAGAAGACTTGAGGAGGAGCAGGATTCAGGTGGGTTTTACCAGAGAAGCAATAAATAAGAATCCCCAAAACATATTCCTTTCTTTCTTTTTTCTTTCTTTCTTTCTTTTTTTTTTTTTGAGAGGGAGTCTTGCTCTGTCACCCAGGCTGGAGTGCAGTGGCACCATCTCGGCTCACTGCAACCAATCTCCGTCTCCCGGGTTCAAGCGATTCTCCTGCTTCAACCTCCCGAGTAGCTGGGATTACAGGTACCCGCCACCACGCCCAGCTAATTTTTGTATTTTTAGTAGAGATGAGGTTTCACCATGTTGGCCAGGCTGGTCTTGAACTCCTGACCTCAAGTGATCCACCTGCCTTGGCCTCCCAAAGTGCTGGAATTACAGGCATGAGCCACTGTGCCCAGCCCCGCAAACATACTTCTAATTCAACATATACTCAAATTACCAAATAGACAGCACATTATCAGTATAAGACACCTGCATTCATGCTTCTTCACTGGATTAATATTTTTCCCCAAATATTGGATGGAAATTGTCTTCACATAACCAAAAATCCCATAGGGGAAAGAGAAGTGTGTGTTGGAGGGGGTGGTGTTGATGAGGTCAACTCTGTGCTCATTATATCTGATATCTGTTTTTATTTCCCCAGTGGTACAAAAGAGGAGGAATAACAAGCAACACTCGTACCACCAGAATGTTAATTTTTTTTTGATGGCGTCTTGCTCTGTTGCCCAGGCTGGAGTGCAGTGGTGCAATCTCCTCTCACTGCATCCTCCACCTCCCAGGCTCAAGTAGTACCCCCACCTCAGCCTCCCGAGTAGCTGGGACTACAGGTGTGCACCACCATGCCAGGCTAATTTTTGTATTTTTTGGTAGAGCTGGAGTTTTGCCATGTTGCCCAGGCTGGTCTCGAACTCTTGAGCTCAGGAGATCCACCTGCCTCAGCCTCCCAGAGTGCTGGAATTACAGGAGTGAGCCACCGCACTTGGCACACGCTAAGAACAGTAGACTCAGAATGGCCAGAATGTGAATTTCTATGTGATGTGGGCAAGGATGAAAGAGGGCCGGAGAGCCCAAAACAGCATACAAAGCCCCAGTAGAAATGAAAATAGATAAGAAAATGCTATTGCATATTTAACTTTCAATAACTTATCAGATTAGCTTCAGACACCTGGTAAAGTCCTAAATTACGTGTCTGCTAAGACTGGAAGTGCAGGAAGACGGGCTCTGTGTCAAAGCAACATGAAGGACTACGTGTGCGTGTTGCTCGTGTAGTGTGTATACGATGTGTGTTCAGTGTGTGTAGTGTGTGGGTATAGTGTGTTGTGTGTGTTAGTGTGTGTGTTGTTTGTGAATTATGTTGTATGTGTAGTACGTTCTGTGTGTAGCACATAGTGGACTGTGTGTGTTTTTAGTGTGTCTACTGTGTTATGCCTGTGGAGTGTGTTGTGTGTGTAGTATGTTCTGTGTGTAGTGTACTGAGTATTGTGTTTGGTGTATATCTAGTGTGTGGTGTGTAGTGCATGTTGTATGTTGTGTGCAGTGTGTGTGTGTTGTATGTTGTGTGTGCGTGTGAATGAACATGGCGAGGAGGGTGAGCTGAAAGAGAATGGTGGGAGCAGCTGAAATAGGACCTGCTGCTCCACTTTCTGCCCCGATCTGGCCCCATAGCAGCGCAGCTCCCAGGTGGAGGTTCTCCTGGCTCCAGCCCTTGGCAATAGGCTGCGGCCTGCACTCCTGTTGTGGGGGGGAGCGGGTGACAGAGGCTGCAGGCCTTTGTGGGTACACAGATGGACTCACAGGTGGTAATTAGTACAACACTTTGCAAAACAAGCTTACAAGGAGGCATTGAGCCGAGGCGTGGGCAGTCGGAACAAACCAGTGATGGGAACCTGGAATACCTCCAGCCTCCGTCCCAGGCTCACCAGCTCACAGTGACACCGGGTCTCCACACCCCACCTGGCCTCCAAGGCCCTTGATGTCTGTCCACCCTTCAAGCCTCCCTGTCTTAAGTAACACCCTGAGCTCAGCTCCTTCTGCAGAACATTTGTGTTCATTCTATTTGGGAATTTCTATTATATTGTCCTCTTCCTGCAATCCTTAATCCTTTCCCTTTCCCCCAAATCACCTTTGTTCAAGGCCAAGCCCAGAGTCACCTTGGCGTGAAATATCTCCTAATCCCCCCTGGAAGCCTCTGCGCTTCTAGGGCTTTGTGTGCTGGCAACTGTGAGGTCTTCCTTTTCTAATCAGCTCGCACTTGCATGCTCCCAACATGTCTGCTGTTAGATTCATGCGCCGGGCTCCATCATTAAACAGCAAATGCTTGGGGAAAGGAGCTAAATCTCAAACTGTTTTCGTGGCCCTGTAGCACCTCATAGCCCAATGCGGAGCCCACGGTTTCTGTGAGGAGCATGGAGAGGTGTCGAAGGCCGGTTAAAGTGCATTTCAGCTCTGATGAGCAGGACCAATTCAATCAGAGGGGCCTTGCTGGGCTTCACCGCCAGGGCTGCCATCCCAGTCAGTCTTAAGAGCCCTGGCCCGCAGGTGACCGTCTTCCCAAAGGGGCCTGGGGAGGGTTCTGGGATTGTTTCCACCTCTTGCTGAGAAATGTGCCACGTGAAGGAACAAATGTCTGGAAGGTTCATGTTCTTTGTCCTGAAAAGCTATGTTCAAGGAAACAAAAACATATGGATGGATGAAGGGAGAAATTATGTCCTAGAAGACTGGGAAATGCACACCTCGGTGTGATTTGAGGGGCAATCAGACAGGGGCCCCACTTTCAGCAAGCATCATTTACAGAGAGACTGTCAGGGAAGGGGCTTTAGGAAGCAAAGGGGATGCTTCCTCTGGGTAACATTCGTGACCAGAAGCAAGGCCAGTGCTGGGAAACTGCAGATGTCCTGGAACCATGAAATGTGCTGCCAGGTAGAACTCTTCCCTCGAGGGAAGACATCAGTGGACCCTTTGTAAGGGTTGTTTTAAGAGGACCTCTGGCCTGGGGGTGAGAGGTTGAACTTGGATTAGTGGTTCTGTGGCTGAGCCAGGTGCCACAGTGGGTGCCCTGGGCCACAACAGCCATGGAGACCTGAGGCACCGCCAAGGGGAAGCCTGAGATCAACGAACCTACCTCTCCATTTTGGCCCAGGGCTGCCCCTGATCCCGGGGGTCCCAGACATGCACCCAAGTGCTCGGGGCCTGTGTGAACTCACAGGGGTCCCTCTGGAGGCTTTAAATACTCAAGGGAAACACGACAATCCTGAACCCCTGCCACACACCACGCATGATTTGCTCTGGTAACAGACATCCCAGCGTCAGACAGCACTGCCTTATCTTTGCAAAGCTGGGTTTTGGTGGCTGCTGTGATTAAAAAAAAAAAAAAAAAACGAGCACCACTTGGAAACCAACACAGAAGAGGAAATGCGAACCCAATTTACCTCCACCATGCAGCGCAGCATTGCAAGGGAAAATAACTATGGCAAGCAGTAATACAACAGTACTATTTAGATTTTTAATGTATTCCTGTAACAAGTAAGTACTAAGCTATTAAGGCATAGGTGTTTGCTAAGTTGTTTGGACTGAACTCATTAATAAACTGTTGGTTATTTCTTTTGGCCTAAAAAAAGGGGAAGAGAGGGTGCCTTCTCCCCAGAGTTTGGGAAACACTCCTGTAACAGTTCATGGAGAGTGGCCATGACTCATATTCTTCTAGGCCAGATGATAGATTCTTTCCAACGGTGCCCCTTCTCAGAAAAGGCCCACTGGAGAAGTGGGTGGTGCCTCAGTCAGGTGATATAGTTCGGATTTGTGTCTCCGCCCAAATCTCATATTGCAATATAATCCCCAATGTGGGAGGTGGGGCCTGATGGGAGGTGATTCAGTCATGGGGGCGGTTTCTCATGAATGGTTAAACATCATACCTCTTGGCACCATCCTCTCAATAGTGGGTGAGTTCTTGCAAGATCTGGTCATTTTAAAGTGTGTGGCAGCTCCTCCTCTCTCTCTGGCTCCTATTCCCAGCCTGCTCCCACTTCACCTTCTGCCATGACTGGAAGGTTCCTGAGTGACAGAGCAGGAGCATCACCATTTTGGACAAACACCACCTTTTAAGTTCCCCTTGAATAAAAGAAACTGCCTAAATCCAGCCCCAAAAGATCAGCCTAATGACTAATGTCAGCATAACCAGAAACATTCCAACCCTAAGATAAACCCCACTCCGACCAGAAACATGCCAACCCCACAATAAAATTTTCCTCACATAGAAACATTCCAATCCTGCAATAAGCTCCCCCTTCCTAAACCCTTAAATTCCCTTAGACTGTAAGAGAGAACGTTCCTGACTGAAATTGGCCAGAAGCCCCTCTCAAGTTTATTCTCCAAAATAAACCTGCCTTTGACTGTTAAGCTGCTTTTCGTGTTTCTTTCCTCTTTCTTTAACTCTTATGCTGAGGCCTCCCCAGAAGCAGATGGTGGTGTCATGCTTTCCGCACAGCCTGCAGAACCATGAGTCAATTAAACATCTTTCCTTTGTAAATTACCTGGTCTCAGGTGTTTCTTTATACCAATGCAAGAACGGCCTAAGACAGCATGGGCAGTATGGCTTGACTACAGGAAAAGGAAGGCAAAGTGGTCCCATCCTAAGAGAAACAAAGGTCATCAAGCCACCGACTCCCCAGGCTTCCCCTGAGGCCCCTGCTCCCCTTACAAGTGGGAGCCTCTTTGCCCCTTTCCAGCCCCCACTACCTTAATTCTCTAGCTCCATCCTTCTCTGTCCTTGGATTAATCCAATGAATCGAGTACAGGTTTGAGCATCCCTAGTCCAGAAATCCAAAAATCAAAATGCTCTAAAGCCAAAACTCTTTGAGGACTGACATGATGCCACAATTGGAAAATTCCACATCTGACTTCATGTCATCAGTCTCAGTCAAAATGCAGTCAAAACTTTATGCACAAAATTCTAAAAATATTGTCTAAAGTTCCCTTCAGGTGATGTGCTTGAGGTGCATATGAAGCATTAATGGATTTTCTGTTTAGACTTGGGTCCCATCCTCAAGATATTTCATTAGGTATGACACAGATGTTCCAAAATCCAAAAAGCGTTTTGGATAAGGGAGCGTCAACCTGTTCCTCCATGCTGGATGCGATGAGCTGGATTCTGGGAACACAGGGAACAACCCAGCACATTCACACACAGAGCTGCAGTGAGAAGAGGCGCTGGGTCTACGACAGCAGGAGGGTCACATGCAATTCTGGCCCTGCCATGGCTCCAGGTTGTGCTCCAAGGTCGAATGGGGGCTTATTTGCATCCAGAATTCCCCAGGCAATATTCATCTCCAAGTGAGGTCACACACACAGCAGGCTGCGCTTTCTCCCTGCCAGGCCTTCTGTCAGGGCTTCCACGGTGGACGAGCTCCCACTCCGCCATGTGTCCTGTTTCTGTCCTGCACGAAGCCCCCGCCACTTCTCTATTCCCTCCCACACCCCAGTTGTAGTCCTTGTGGATCCCACCTCCACAGCTTTGCCCATCTGCCCCCACCGCCCTCATCGTGCCATCTCAGTCAGGGGCTCTCATCCTGGGCAGACCCCGCTCATCCTGGAGGAGCCACAGCTCGACCTTCCCCACATCCTGAGATCCCCGACTATGTAGTGGGGGACGGAGAGGTTCTTGGGCATTTAGTACAAGACTTCAGGGTCCTCTTACTGTTTCACTGGTACAAATCTCAGCTACCAACATGATTATAACCCCTATGGTTAATTTAATTTGTTGTTTAAATCCCACAGGAAGAGGCAGATTATGCAGTCGTCTTCAAGGTGATGAATAAATACCCAAATTCAATGGAAAGCAAAAAGAAAACAGTAGTTGATACATAGTAAGCCATATAAAAGTGATTTATGCAAATTAACCTATTTAATCTTCATAATCCTATGGAATATGCACAGATAGGAAAATGACGGCACCAATATGATGGGTTAAGTGGCTAATGTCAGACCACTAGAAAGTGGTAGAGTTGGGATCTGAACTCAAGCAGGATGGCTCCAAAATCTGTATTATTTACCACTATGTTCTACTGCTCTCTTGATTTTTCATCTTGTGTGCAGCCCATATAAATATATATAAGGCAAATGTTGGTTGCTATAGAGTTCAGAACTAAGTATTACTTATAAATGTAGGAACTTTCTTCCGCTAGAATCTCTGGATGTAATGTTCCCTTTCTTTCCCTGGTAAAACTCTTTTTAAATAAATTATTCTGTGTTAACATTATTTTTAAAAGGAGGCCAAATGTGCATATATCTGTGCAATCTGATTTGCAATGAATATATTTGTTTATTCATCTATTCAGCTGTTATGCATTGAACATTTACTACATACGCTCACTCTGCTGGACACTAGGGATATGAGCAAAGTGCTATTTTTTGTTTTTTTGTGAGTTTTTTCTTTAATCTTAAGGATGCCCAATTTAGCCTCAAGGATATTCACAGTAACCACAGGCTGAGCACTTACTGTATTGAATGTTGTGCATGCATTATCTCATTTAATCCTCATAACCACCTTGTGGGAGAGTTACTATTATTCTGTCAACTTAACAAATGAGAAGACCAAAGATCAGAGCAACTAAGGGGCCTGCCCAGTATTGCAGAGATCATAGTTGCAAGGTTGGGATTGGGGCCCACGTGTGACCAACACCAGCACTCATGACCCTCACCCCTGCTCTGGATCCTGAGAGATGGCTCCTGTAGAGAGAGGTCTGTGACTGTCTGCATCGTGCCTGGAGCACACAGTGGGGTGGAGAAAGTGCTCTGAGGACCTGGAGGATGGAGTGAGGCATGCTGCCAGGAAGGCACACGGGTTTCTTTGATTGGGATCAGTACTCTTCTAGGCTCCCGTGTCTCACTGGTGAAATAACAGTGTTATCTCGGACATTCAAACCATCTTCTCACAGGGTCTCGGTTTGCATATGTGATGTGCCTGCCACTGCCAATTCCATCCTTCTGCTCCCAAGTCCAAACCCAGGATGCAAACAGTGGGCATGGAGGACTAACCTTTTAAAAAATATTTCACAAATTGCCGTCTAAATAGGATGATTCTGCCCGAGCTCTGTGCCACTTTCCCCTACAGGAAAACTAGCTAGTTCTTGAAACAATGCCTTATTAAGTTATAGTCTATGCCATTTCATTAAAAAGAAGTCATATCCTACTCCAAGTCACCTTCTGAACCATCAGGGGCTTGTGGACTGAGACCAAGTGCAGTGGGTGACCCTCAGCTCAGTCACAATTTGTGTGGATAGACCAGGGAGCCCACCATGCCTATAGCAGAGCTCCTACACCAGGGCCCAGCTGAGGCGGTGGATGGAGTTGCTGCTCAAGAAGCTCAAGTTGGGAGACACCCCTGCAGCAGCAGGAGCACTGAAAGGAAGGTCCAAAGACTTTCTGAGATGACAGGTCTTCTGCAGGTCTGCAATGCCAGCCATCTTTGTGATTCTTCTTCACTGAATCAGAATGACGGCTTCCTCAGATTCACTGCATGGTTCATTGGAAGGCACTAGAGGGCTTCTCTAGGAAAGAAGTGTTACCCCCAGAAACATGGCCCCTGAGTAAGCACTCTGGGGCCGCCCCTGTAACACCACCCTAGTAGGATTTGAGGAACGAATAAGCCAAAGGGGGAAATCATATATTAGCTGACATTTTATATTTCCTAACTTTGCTTTTTTTGCTATTTGAATGCTTCCTCCTGGGGAGTTTTAATGTGACTTTGTTTAACCTTTGACTACTGTTGAGCTCTGAGCATACTGAGGACCAGGATGGCATCTGCCCACTCCTTTCTCTCATTCTAGGAGGATATGACCTTGTATGATGGGGCTGTGCCAGGGCAGAGGATTCATACACGGAGCTAGTGGACCAGCTACAACTCTCTCCCTCCACCTCCTCCTTGGAGAGGCTCCAAAAAGCTCCCTCCCACCCTGTGAACACCTAGTACACAGGCGGCTGTTCTTTTTCTTTGGAAGTTGCATAAACAGCATCTCCCTAACAGGCAAAGCTCTCATTAGCAGTGTGTTCCTGTCAGCCGCCTGAAGTGAGAACATAAACACAGTCACCAAAACAAACGCCACCCCACTGGCCTCAGCCCCTGGTCTCTGCAGAGGTGGGCGGGGGAGGCCAAGAACAGGCTTAAAAGGAAAGGAATGGTCCTCTGTTTAAAGGCACGGGCCTGCTCTGCATTTGGCGTGCATACCCTGAGGCTGTTCAATTCATTCCTCCCCACTCCCCGTCTGTCTTGCTCCCTGGCTCACACCCTGGATTGGCACAGAGGCGGTGCTGCAGGGAGCTCTACAGAGGGCTCCTGAGGCCATGCCAGGGTCAGAGCAAGCTAGGGAGGGCAGAGACTGGGAGCGCTTGGGTGATCAGCTCTGACTGAGGCGCCGTCAAGGCTCCAGTCACAGGTATGTAAGAAAGCCCACATTATGGGGTGAATGGCGTTCCCCCCAAAACGCATGTGCTGAAGTCCCAGCCCCTGGCACCTCAGAATGGGACTGTCTACGGAGATAGCGTCTTTTAAAAAATAGCTAAATTACAATGAGGCCATAGGGATGGGCCCTCATCCAACCTGACTTGTGTCATTATAGGAAAAGGAGATGAGGACACAGGCACACACAGAGGAACGACCATGTGAAGACTCAGAGAGAAGACGGCCTTCTGCAAACCCAGCAGGGAGGCCCAGGAGAAACTGACATCTCGATTTTGGACTTCCAGCCTCCAGGATTGTGAAAAAATAAACTTCTGTTGTTCAAGCTGTCCGTCTGCAGGAGTTTGTCGTGGCAGCTCCAGGAGGCGTGGGAAGAGAGCTTTCCAGTGCCTCTCCCTCATGGGGAATTCTGCCCACCTCTCCCTCCACTGGCACTCACACTGGCATGTTCCTCCCCATGCCCAGGCTCCCGATGGACCCAAGCCAGCTTGCCTGCCAAGCAAATCAAGCTCCATTCGAAATTCTTAAATTGGCGAAACCAAGTAGACTTTAAGGAGGGCCCAAGACAGTTCTTCTTATTCCCGCAGTCCCAGCACGATGACTACTGCGTTTTTTCACTCCTTAATCCTGTTTTGCATGATAAATTATGTAATCAATTCTGTCTCCATACTTTTACCTATGCCTGCTCCTAAGCATCAGAATACTAAGTAATTAATAAAAGAGAATAAATCATTCTACTCATTTTTGAATACCGACATTCAGTTTCTTTTCAGTGGGTTAGGAAATGTGACATTAATCACAATATGTTGAAATTATTTTTTCAACATGCCATTAGATCTACTGTTGTAGTTCGGTTTCGTGAAACTAAGAAGACAAATCCCTCTTTCCTAGGAGATTCTTGGACAAAAATGAGTCCGTTCCAAGTCTTTCGGTCTTGCCTTAGGTTACACAGCAGCAGAGTCAGAACTAAAATTTTTGTTTACCTCACTTGTGAGCCAGAGTTCAAGATTATTTTTATCTTTTGGGGGGTGTGGGCTGTAGGCAGAGAGGATGAGTATTTTTTCTGTTTGTTCATTTGTTTGATTGGTTGGTTTTGACTGAATACTTGAAAATAAAGATAGCAGATCTCACCCTGATAGGCTCAAGCGTGGAAAGAATACTTCTTTTATAAAAAAAGAAAGGAAAGAAAAAATTTGAGCTGCTCCTGAGCATAAGCCCAGAGACAGGATTTGCCAGTTTTTTTTTCTTTTGCCTTTTTTCTTGCCTCCTGTTTTACTTCATGATGGTATATGGATCATTTGCCTGTGCAGAATCTTGTTGGAGATTTGAAACCCATTAAAAGGTTCTGCACTGTCCTTGTTCTTCTGTTGTTTCAAATTCCAGAGGGAGGAGTGAGGTCAGGCTTATATTAGCTCTGAGTCAGAAAAGCAACTCCGAGTACAAGCATGGAGGCAGGCGCAGGACTCCGATCTCCCTCTGCTTTATAAGGCAGCGAAGGCAAAAGCACGCAGCAGATGTTGCTCCTTGGTGATGGATGGTCCAAGAGTGTGCAGAGACTTGTAGCCAGCTGGCATGAGGGGTGGCCTTGACAAGAGTGGTTAATAATTGCTTGAAGGAAAGCAGTTTTCAGAATGAAGAACATCATGTTCTAATGAGGAATTTAATACCTGTGAACTTTACTAGAAATGGAACAATAAGGCTGTCAGAAATGGGTGCAAAATCTTCAAGAGCAGCTCACAGACTGGGAGAGATAGAACAGGAGAGACAACATGACCATGTTGATGCTGAGTCTATATTATTGCAACAAGATATATTATTTGCAACTTTTTTTTTGTTTGTTTGTTTGAGATGGAGTCTTGCTCTTGTTGCCCAGGCTGGAGTGCAGTGCCGCGATCTTGGCTCACTGCACCTCCACCTCCCGGATTCAAGCAATTCTCCTGCATCAGCCTCCTGAGTAGCTAGGATTACAGATGCCTGCCACCATGCTCAGCTAATTTTTGAATTTTTTGTAGAGATGGGGTTTCACCACGTTGGCCAGGCTGGTCTCAAACTCCTGACCACAGGTGATCCACCTGCCTTGGCTTCCCAAAGTGCTGGGATTGCAGGTGTGAGCCACCATGCCTGACCCCTATTTGTAATTTTTAACAACTGTTTTGGGATGTAATTTAACCCCACTCCACCCACTGTAAGGGCACAATCCAATGACTTTCAGTAAATGTGTGCAGCTAAGCCATCCCTACAATCCAGTTTGCAGCATTTCCATCACCCCAAAAATTTCCCATCACCCTCCTTGCAGTCAATCAATGCTCCCATCGCCAGCCTCAGGCAACCACCAGTCTGCTTTCTGGCTCCGTAAACTTCTATTTAATAAGGATTCTTTGTGTCTGGCTTCCTTCACTTAGCATGTTTTGGAGTTCTGTCCATGGTATAGGAGGTGTCAGTAGTTCCTCTTTTATTGCTGAATAATAATGCGTTGCATGGAGATACCAAATTCTGAATTCACCAGGTGACAGATATGTGGGTTGTTTCCAGTTTGGGCCGCCTTGAAGAATGCTGCCATGAACGTTCACATACAAGTCTTTTTGAGGATGTATGTTTTTATTTATTGCAAGCAGATTCCTAGAAGCGTAATTACAAGGTCTTTGGGAAGTTTATATTTACCTTTTTAAGAAACTGCCACACAATTTTCCAAAGTGGCTGTTCCATTTTACATTGTCACCAGCAATGTATGAGGTTCCTTTTTTTTTTTTTTTTTGAGACGGAGTTTCACTCTGTTACCCAGGCAGGAGTGCAGTGGCCAGCACGATGTGGACTCACTGCAACCTCTGCCTCCCGGGTTCAAGCAATTCTCCTGCTTCAGCCTCCCGAGTAGCTGGGATTACAGGTACCCACCACCACGCCCAGCTAGTTTTTCGTATTTTTAGTAGAGACAGGGTTTCATCATGTTGGCCAGGCTGGTCTCAAACTCCTGACCTCAGGTGATCCATCCACCTCGGCCTCCCAAGCTGGGATTACAAGCGTGAGCCACCGTGCCCGGCCAAGGTTCCAGGTTTTCTAAATGTAGAAGTATCAACTTTGTATTGTGTGTCTTTTTAAAAATTGTAGACATCTTTAGTGGGTGTGAAGTGGTTTTCATTTCATTTCTTTAATGTTTATTGATGTTTAACACCTTTCCAAATGCTTAGTAACCATTTATATGTCTTCTTTGGTGAAATGTCACTCAAGTCTTTTGCCCATTTGTAAGTCGAGTTGCTTGTTGCTATCGTTGTTGTTGTAAGTATTCTTTATATATTTGGCATATCAATCTTTTATCAGAGGTATGATTTGCAGATATTACCTAATAGCCTGTAACTTACCTTCGAATTTTCTTATGGTGTATTTTGAAGTGCAAAATCTCTTACATTTAAGAACTGAAATGTAAGAACAGCTGCCTGCTGTTGCTAATCCCTTCTGTGGCATAAGGTCACCTCTTTGGTTTCTTAGCTTTCCCTTTATCAAAGTAAGCAATTTCCTCCCAGATTTCTTCTGGTTTAAGAACTACAGGTGGTTTCTATTTTCCTTGTTGAACCCTGGCTAATATACCGATAAAGTCCTGATGTTTTATTTCCTTCTGATAATGGATCTTTCTCCATGTAGTCTCTCTCTCCGGAATGGTCTCTCCAATTCCTTACCCCTTCCATCCAGGCATCCCCACACATGTGCCTTTAACCAAGAAAACTTGCATTATTTAGACCTCAGCTGACAAGTCATTTCCCTCACATGTCTTCCTTGACCCCCGGTCTAAGCCAGCTTTCTTCTCTTCCTCAAGTGTTCACTGCGTGAGAGCAGGCACTCTGTCTACTCACTGCCACATTCCCATCACTCAGCACAGTGCCTGGTACATGGCGGGAGCTCAATGAATAGGTCTGAACAAATGAAGGTATGATAATTCAGTGGGTTTTTAAACCTGATGTCTTCTATCCTGAAAAGATTGAAGTAAGGTAAAGAGCTATTGAAACAGGGAGAGCTGAATAGCAATCTTTGACGTTGTAAAAGGTGCCTATGGGGCCAGAAGCCGTTCACATGTTAATTGATTACCAGCCTCTGGAAAGCCTGGGTGACAGAAAGGCCAAAGGACGGGGGCTGGAAACAACGAGACCCTGGATTCTGGAAACAAGAGCAGCTCCTCGAAACAATGAATGTGAGCCTCACTTGCACTGGATTGAGAAGAGAATGAGATACCAGGGGGCCTCCGGCAGCAGGAACCACAAAGAGCCCAATTGGAACAAGGATGTCTGATATGCCCTTTGTTTTTCTTTGAGACAGAGTCTCGCTCTGTCACCCAGGCTGGAGTTCAGTGGCATGATCACAGCTCACCGCAACCTCCACTTCCTGGGTTCAAGCAGTTCTTGTGCCTCAGCCTCCCGAGTAGCTGGGATTATAGGTGTGCACCACCACACCCGGCTAATTGTTTGTATTTTCAGTAGAGATGGGGTTTCAACATGTTAGTCAGGCTGGCCTCAAACTCCTGACCTCGTGATCCATCTGCCTCGGCCTCCCAAAGTGTGGGGATTACAGGCGTGAGTCACTGCGCCCAGCCAATAGGCACTTTTATGTTTATTATTTCTCTTTAAAGTATCTTTGTTATGCACTGGAATATCTGTTTCCCAAGAATTCATGTTAAAGTTCTAACCCCCAGTGTGGCTGTATTTGGAATAAGGAAGTAACTAACATTAAATGGGGTCGTAAGATTGGAGCCCTGATCCGATGGGATTATTGTCTTTACAAGAGGCACCAGAGAGCTTGATCTCTTTCTACAAGACCACCTGAGATGAAAACACAGCAATAAGGTAGCCCCCTGAAAGCCAACAAGAGAGCCCTCACCCGAAATGGAATCAGCTGGGTCCCTGAACTTCTAACCTCCAGAACCGAAAGAAAAGAAATGTTTAAGGCAACTGCCCATGGCATTTTGTTACCGCAGTCAAACTAACTGATACAGCCCTGCCTTTTCTCCAACCTTTAGTAAGTTATATTATATACAATGCCTTGATTCAAGCAGGAAGGGAGTCTTTGTCTTTGCTTGAGTGACAAAGTGAGGAGAAAAAATAGCCCCTTGCAGAATGATGAGAACGGTGCTTACGCTCACAGGGAAGTTACTGAGCCCCGCCAGGACTAAGCACTTCAGAGGCATCCATTGTTTAATTCTCACCACACCCCCAGAGATAGAATCAGGAGCCCAAGGCACAAAATGATTCATCCTGTTATTCGCAGTTGCACAACTAATCTATGGAGCTTCAGTTCAAACCAAGCCTTTCAAGTTCCAGAGCTTATGCCCTACAAGGACTCTCAGAAGCACAGGCCAGAATGAGGCAGGTCAGATGACAGAGGAGAAATGAGGAGCAGGACTTGGGGGCTTAAGGAGGCAAATGGCTGAGTCCATCTAACTTTGATCCCACTGTTTGCTGAGGCAGGCTTGAAAGGAGTAGCAGGGTAAGCATAGAAGTCTTCACAGTGTATTGAAAGTCTGTTCCCTCTGACCCACATGCTTATCCTGCACCCAGCTCATCTCCAGCAGCAGGCTGAGGACAAACACAAAGACCAACCAAACCAGAATAAGAAAGACTGTTTACTCAGCACTTGCTGTAGCAAGGGAGTCAACCAGCATTGCTCGTGTATTGGCAGAGACTCAAAGGTAGGCATGGCAGTGGGAAAGCCTTATGGTGGCAGAAAGGGGTGCCCCTACTTGGGGCTGTTGGTGTGGAGAAGCTGGGGTCGGCTAATTAGAAAAAGGGCATGCTGGGCAGTTGGTTAGGGGACCATATTTGTCCTTCCTTGATTGGTCTTAAGTTAGAAGTGGAACTAAAAATCTGAGACGCTGTCAGATATTAATCAAGCCCTGACCACTTCGACCCAGTTGTTAGAGGGGTTAGGGTTTGGGTTCCTGAACTGATTGCTGGAGAAAGTGGTCTGACTGCCTGTAAGTCTGGCTTGTGGATAGCAGGCTGGCTTCTCCTGGACTGGTTTCTGTAGTCAGGGGTGTCCAATCTTTCGGCTTCCCTGGGACACACTGAAAGAAGAATTGTCTTGGGCTACACATGAAATTGTGAACCCCGAAAATCTGAGACAGGGGTCTCAGTTAATGTAGAAAGTTAATTTTGCCAAGGTTGAGGACACAGCCTCAGGAGGTCCTGATGACATGTGCCTAAGGTGGTCAGAACGCAGTTTGGTTTTATACATTTTAGGGAGATGTGAGACATCAGTTAACCTATGTAAGATGAATGGTGGTTCGGTCTGGAAAAGCAGGACAATTCAAACTGGGGAGGGGACTTCTAGGTTGTAGGTAGATAAGAGACAAACGGTTGCATTCTTTTCAGTTTCAGATGAGCCTCTCTAAAGGAGGCAATCAGAGATGCATTTATCTCAATGAGCGGAGGGTTGACTTTGAACAGAATGGGAGGCAGGTTGGCCCTAAGCAGTTCCCAGCTTGACTTTTGCCTTTAGCTTAGTGATTTCGGGGCTCCAAGATATTTTCCTTTCATAAAATACACAAACACTAACGATAACTGATAAGCTAAAAGAAAAAAATGGCAAAAAAAAAAAAATCTCGTAATGTTTTAAGAAATTTTACGCATTTGTGTCCACAATCAACGTCATCCTTGGCCGCATGCAGCCTGCAGGCTGCAGGTTGGATAAGCTCGCTGTAGAGAATGGGCTGGCCTCCTGGGCTGATTGCTGAGGACTGTGGGTCAGAGTTCTATTTTTTTTTTAATATGGTCTGGTCATATATTCAGTCTGTCAATGCTGAAGGAAAATATATGTCATTGGAGACATCGATTTATTTCAGTGTCTTTTGCCTTAGGTGGGAAAGCTCTTCTTAAATCAGTGATTCAAAGCAAAGACAATTAGAAGCACTTGGGAGTTGAAAGAAAACCACCAATTCCCCGAGCCCACCCCAAGGCCAATGAAGTCAAAATCTCTGGAGCAGGGTTTAGATACCACTGGTTTCTAAAACCTGCTCAGGTGATTCTAATCTACAGCCAGGAACAAGAACCACTCTTATAAAGGCTGGAGACAGGCCTGAGGCTGAGCCAGGAAAGAGTTCCTCAAACGCTAGTGTGCAAACATATCCCTGGGGGATCACGCCTGTAATCCCAGAACTTTGGGAGGCCGAGGGGGGCGGGGGCAGATCACCTGAGGTTGGGAGTTCGAGACCAGCCTGACCAACATGGAGAAACCCCATCTCTACTAAAAATACAAAATTAGCCAGGCGTCGTGGCCCACACCGGTAACCCCAGCTACTCGGGAGGCTGAGGCAGGAGAATTGCTTGAACCCAGGAGACAGAGGTTGCAGTGAGCCAAGATCGCGCCATTGCACTCCAGCCTGGGCAACAAGAGTGAAACTCTATCTCAAAAACAAAACAAAACAAATCCCTGGGGGATTCTGTTTAAAATGCAGATTCTGATGAAGGATGAAGCCTGATACTGCACATTTTTAACAAGCTCCCAGAAGGTGCAGTCGCTGCTGGTGCTCTGGCCACAGTTTTCATAGTAAAGACACAGCATTAGGCCCAGGGAAGGCATAATTAAAGGACTGCTATGGATGGATTTCCCATTCACCAGGATGATTGACCTAGATGCTGTAGAAAAATCAGCAGTGAGGAGGCTAGAGGTCTCAGTTTTATCACTAATGAAATTTAAAAAAAAAACAACAAAAAAAAACCTGTGTGCATGATCTCAGGTAAGTAGCATATACTTTGTAAGCCTCAATTCCCTAACTTACTGTATATGTAGTTTGTTCTAGATCATCTTTATAGAATGAAAACAATGGTAATTAATATTTTAATGCTTACTATACCCACACAATATGTTAGCATTTCATGATGGGAATTATTTAGGATGATAAATGAAACTTTGTTAGGGTTGCCAGATTAAACACAGAACACCCAATTACATTTAAATTTCAAATAAACAACAAATAAATAGTATAATTATGCCCCATGCAATATTTGGGACAGAGCCGTACATAAAAGGATCTGTATCTTATCTACAATAGTAATTTAACAGGTTATCCTGTATTTTTATTTACTAAACCTAGCAAGTCAAAAAGGTCTTATGTTCTTTTTTTTTTTCTAATTTTATTTGAGATTCAGGTGTACATGTACAGATTTGTTATATAAACAAATTGTGTGCTGCAGGGGTTTGGTATACAGATTATTCTGTCACCCAGGTGATCAGCATGGTATCTGATAGGTAGTTTTTTTTTTATCCTCCCCCTTCTCCCCACTCCAAGTGTCTGTTTTTTCCTCCTTTGTGTCCATACGTACTCAGTGTTCAGCTCTCACTTCTAAATGGGAACAGGCAGTATTTGGTTTTCTGCTCCTGTGTTAGTTCACTTGGGATAATGGCCTCCAGCTCCATCCGTGTTGCTGCAAAGAACATAATCTCATTCTTTTTTATGGCTGTATAGTATTCCATGGTGTACCTGTACCACATTTTCTTTACCCAGTCTACTGTTAATGAGCATTTAGGTTGATTTCATGTCTTTGCTATTATGGATAGTGCTGCTATGAACATACATGTGTATGTGTCTTTATAATAGAACAATATATAGTCCTTTGGGTATAACCCAATAATAGGATTGCGAGTCGAATGGTAATTCTGTTTTATGTTCTTTGACAGATCTCCAACTGCTTTCCACAGTGGCTGACCCAATTTACATGCCCCATAGCAGTGTATAAGCATTCCCTTTTCTATGCAACCTTGTCAGCCTCTGTTAATTTTTGACTTTTTAATAATAGCCATACTGACTTGTGTGAGATGGTATCTCATTGTGGTTTTGATTTGCATTCTCTAATAATTAGTAACACCAAGCATTTTTCATATGCTTGTTGCCCGCATGTAAATCTTCTTTTGAAAAGTGTCTTTTTGGCCAGGCACGGTGGCTCACACCTGTAATCCCAGCACTTTGGGAGGCTGAGGCAGGCAGATCACTTGAGGTCAGGAGTTTGAGACCAGCCTGGCCAACATGGTAAAACCCCGTCTCTACTAAAAATACAAAAATTAGCTGGGCGTGGTGGCGGGCACCTATAATCCCAGCTACTTGGGAGGTTGAGGCAGGAGAATCCCTTGAACCTGAGAGGCAGCAGTTGCAGTGAGCTGAGATTGCACGATTGCACTCCAGCCTGGGTGACAGAGTGAGACTCGGTCTCAAAAAAAAAAGAAAAGTGACTTTTCATGTCCTTTGCCCAATTTTTTTATGGGTTGTTTTTTGCTTATATTCATTTTATAGAGGAAGAAATGTTTCTAAGATGTGAAGTAACTTGCCCATAGTGGCCCAGGTAATCAGTGGAGGGGCTGGTAAATGAAGACACACGGTCTCCCTCTAACGCCCAGATTTTTAGATGCTATGATCTCTCTTAAATTGCCAAAACTAGTTGAGGGATGGTCACATTAACAAGACAGGGACGTTAGTAAGTAAGTGAAAACAGGGACGTCGTCACCTGCATGACAGCATCGCATGTAGATTTATTTTGTTCTTGAATTTGTTTATTCTTCTTTCCTTGTGTGCAGTGGAACAACCACAATGTCTTGCTTTCTCAGCAATGGTAAGGACGGACCCGAAGGATGAAGCCTCTTTTCTGTCTAAATCAAGGTCCTCCTATTGCTCCATCTCTCTTCTGTGCTCCATCAGCAGTTTCAGAAGGCGGGCCCTTTCTTCTCCGGAGTTTTGTTGCATGCTGAGTACTGTAAGAGCCTTTGAGCCTGGGAACATTTTTATTCACATGTTGGAATGCAGTTTCTCTTGGATTTATGTCCTCCAGAAGAAAAGTGTCATTTATTGTCTAAAAGAAATGCGAGGATCTGCCTTTCTTTGTGAGCCCATTATACCCATCATCCTTTTCCACTTGCATTCAGTGCCCCATCCCTCACACCAAAATGAACCAAAGTGCATCCTCTCCTTCCAGAATAACTGCTTGGAGAACCTCGTCTCCTCCTTCCTCTTCTCCACACTGCTCAACTGGGCTCCAGCTTAGACTTCTACCTGATGCTCAGGTCTCCAATTTCTTCCTGCTAAAAATAACAGGTATGAGACTCACAGTCTGGGAGTGGGGAGGATCCAACCCCCTTCTGAGAAGCTTCTCTCTTCTCTGAGCTTACTCAAGCTGTTCCCTTCAAATAAACCCCAGGCTGGAACGCCTTCTCCGCTTCTTTACTCAAGAGAGGAGGCTCCCAAGGGAATATGAGTTGCTTTGGGAGTGGTCTTTCTTTCTGATAATCTCAATAAACCATCCTCCAACTATCCCTAAGTCTGTTTGGCCTGGAGTAATATCCTCAATCAGCTTTGGACTAGGAGCCCCGGTCTTGACACCATGGCTGTCTGATTTGACCTTACTTATTGTTCCTAATAAATGCATTGTGCCTTATCCCTTGTATGGGAGGCTTCCACATGTTTATGAATGTGTTTTTTAAACTCTGAAACACCCTTAAATCCAAGTCCTTCTGTTTGCTGGGTCTCTGTCTTATTGGTTTAATCCATTGCCGGGAGCCTGCCATTCATCCTGGGTCCATGAGACTGGGATCCTGCTACAGCTCTAACAATCATGTCAGGAACGAGAGAAACCCCCTTGGTCCTGCCAGCTCGCCAGGTCCCCGTCACAGTGACACTAAGTAACTTTACCTACACTATCACTCAATGACCAGGGGAACTCCCCTAGAGAAAGTCCCTTGCTTCCAGAATTATTTGGCAAAGATTGGAACCCACTTTTCTGGACAGGATATAAAATATCACTTGTGAAGTTAATTGGGAAAGCATTTGTGAAAAGTAGATTTTAAAGGTGACCTATATCCTCAAATACCTCAAATTAATTATTAACAAATTTTTCTCTTGACCACTTCCTCTAACGATGCCAGCTTTTCATTGCATATTAGGTGAGAAGGAAACGGAGATGCTTAGCTTAATGGAATAAGGCTAATGGAGGAGAGAGGCAACACCTCGATTTATCACAGGGTGAGTGAGGGAGACAGATGAGTGCTGGCCAGGAGGCAATTGTATGGTCATCACAGAGAAAGGGGCCTTAGAGGGTTGGTGGTGGTTTAGCAAGGCAAAACGGAGAAGGAAAATCCCGTGAGTGGATGGTATCCCAGCAGGGGAATGGAGAACAATCGCATCAATTCCAACACGCAGATGGGTGGTTTATGTTAGGGGATTTGGAACGGCTAGGAGATCCCAGCTACTGGGTTTCGGATTCAGAGGCAAGATTCCAAACCCTAGCAGGAAGGCAGTGTAGAGCCCCAGTCTCAGAAGTCAGAATAAGGTCACGGACCACATGAAAGCAGGACACAAAGATCTGTGCCCCAAATAATGATTTAACAGTTACAGAAACTATTTTCATTTCATTCTGCAGGGCAGTTTTTATTTTCATCAGAGAACTATTCTTCTAAATTCGTCGTTAATAATTTTCTTCTCCAAATTTGTCTCTCTATCTGTCTGTCTGTCTGTCTCTCTCTCTCTCTCTCTCTCTCTCTCTCTCTCTCTCTCTCTCTCTCTGTGTCTGTGTGTGTGTGTAAGAAAATAGCAAGGAATGACTTAATACTTTGATTCCTTCAACAGCAGTAGAACTTTACAAATAAATGGCAACAGTTTTATATATTTTGTATTTACTTATTAAATGGTTTTGTGGTGGCACTGCAAATTTTGGTAGAGCAGAGTGATGTAAAAACAATATTTTCCTAAATTAGGAAAACTATGGTAACTTCTATTTGGATTGGTAAAATATTACAATTTGTTTAAATGTGTATGTGTGTGTGAATGGAAAGAGTGAGAGAGAGAAACTGAACTACAAAATCTTGTTTAAAAAAAGCTGATGTTGAATCCAATGAAATACATGATCCCAGTGACACCCACATTCTGTCTTTGGGTCTATCATCAGTCCAATAGTAGAAATGCATAAGCCTTTGAAGAACTTCACTATAAATCAACCTCAGGGTCCTGCCATGGCATTAAACTCAGTTTTTAGTAAACTCAGCCTCTAAATTTGGATCACATGATCTTCAAAGTCAGGTTCAAGTCTTCTCAAAAATTTTTATTTTATTTTTAGTTGACAAATAATAGTTGTATGTATTTGTGGGGTACAATGTAATATTTTGATATATGCTTACATTGTGGAATGATTTAAGCAAGCTAATTAACATCTCCATCACCTAATACACTTACCAATTTGGTGGTTTTCAGAGGCAGGAGAGGAGGGTGGATGGGAAAAAGGGAGATGTTGATCCAAGGTTACAAAATTTTGGCTAGCCAGGAAGAATAAGCCTTAGTGATCTATTGCACAGAATGGTGACTATAATTAATAATAATGCATTGTATATTTCAAAATTTCTTAAAGACTAGATTTTAAATGTTCTCAGGTGCAAATCATTTTATTCAAAAATTTTCAACACCCAATATGACAAGAATAACTTTAGATTTTATAGCTTTTAGTAAATTGTAATTGAAAGTAAACCATGCAAGGAGAAGGGGCTGAAGTTTATTCCTTCAAAAGCAAGAAACCTGATAAATAAAATGGAGCAACCTCAAATAGTGTAAAAATATAATTTTGAAATTCCATAATTGTACTTTTTAATATCTCAGCATTTTTAATGGATACATTTATTTTCTGCAGTGGAATAGAATAACATGGAAATGGTCAATGATCTGTAGCATACAAATTTGTTAATTTACCAAAGAATTTTATGTGTTTTATTTTGTAAAAAAAAAAATTAGAAAATCTAGCATAAATTAAGCAAAAATAAAGAAAACTGAGAATATTGTTCACTTAGCAGAATTTGTTCTGCGATCACTAGGACCTCAGTACCCAGAGAAGTGAGCATGTTCCAGACATAATTACTCTGCCCATGTTACTTTTAAAATATGTATAAAAACAATACAAAGGATGTTTAATTAATCTTAATATACATTTACAACTCATTTTAAATTTGGAAGATATTTTTATTTCTGAAAATGGTTTTGGAATTTAGCTAATTTATAGTAAAGTCAATTTGTCAGACAGTAGATATAAACTCAAGCATTGCTCTAATTATAGGCCTTTCCTGTCTCTCCAGAATAAAGTTCAACATTGAGACTTCTCAGAGATAGTTTACTTCTTCGAGATAGTTTACTTCTTCGTAGGAACATCTGAGGAGACAGGATTCCTAGAGCACAGGAAGATGGACAGAGAAAGATTACACAGCAAAAGCCACCCTGGATAAAGGAGGTAGTCACTAGTATCTACAGCCCTGGTTTCTGCGTCAAGTTCATTTCTCAGGACATAAGCAATTGAGAGAAAGAAAGAAAAAAATATTTAAACAAACCACCCCAATAAAGCAGCTTTGTGAGTAATTTTCTTGAGAAGAAATGACCCTCCAATCAGCACCCTTACTATGTGTTCAAAAACTGGCTCTGACTTCTCCCGCGTTCTTGAAAAGTTCTACCCTTCAACAGCGTGAAGGAGAAATGCCTGCCCCCGCCCTGTGGTCTAGGGTTGAGGGGGAGAATAGACAGCATTTTTATCAAAGCCCTAGATTGGTTCTCCTTTCAGAGAAATATATTGGTTGCAATCACTACCATTTTAAAATTCAAAGCCAGTGCAGTTTGAATTAAGCTTCACAGACTCAAATAGATGAAAATTAAATTGTTGTAGTTGGATATACTGAGAGACTTAAATAGACAACAGTCCCAGGAAAATTTATTAGATTGTTCGGCTATGAATTTTATATATTACTCATTCTTGTGATCCACTAATATGCAATTATATTCAGACTGAGTCAGTACAATCAGTAAATAAATTAATGAGAATTTGATGAGCACTTTCCCTTGACTGGACCATGTGTTTGACAGTCTGGATTTCTATGTCCCATAATATGGAGGAGACTATTTTAGTTTGAAAAGTGAGATCTCATTACTTTTAATTCCTGTCCTTCAGATTCCCCTGCAGTTCACTGTGCTAAATTTTAGTCTTACACATCAGAATGACAGCTCTTCCTCATGCATGACTGGTGTGTAACACATAAGACTCCTGTATGTTAATGAGCCACGAAGAATTTCCGTGCTGCAAGCTGAGGCTGGAGAATTCATATATGGATAAATGGCAATCCAGCGCCTGGTGAAGGTCCACTTGAGATATGTGATATTTGAGAGGGGCTATCTAATGCACACATTCACTGACAGTACCATGGATTTTTAATGATTTTTTGCTAGATGAAGCCGGAACATTGGATGACAACAAACACACACTGTATTATAACATAGTAATAATAATTTTGCAGGCAACTAATATAACTGAGAGGTATACACTCATCCATTTGGACAACATGTCTACATGTTTTAAAAATGTGTATTTAAATGCATTGTCCATTATGTTACCTGGTTTTCCTGACTGCATTCTCATTTGAATTCAGTAACAGGATAAAGCTGATAAATAAAGCAGAAAGTTTGTCTTCAGAAAGTAGCAGAAATGTAAGTTAATGCTTTTTCTCTTTTGCCTTGGTAACAAGGAAGCTAAGAAGAAGAAAATCAATAAGCTGAAGTCAAGCAATAGGTTTTTACTTGGCGTTAGAAGGGTTATTATACTTTTAAAAATGTTTTCTTATTCCTAATTGTGCTTAATTTTTAAGACATCTCAAAACTGTATTAGTGCCTGATGGAGGATAAATTCTGGTTGAGATACATGGAATAAACCAAGATAATGGGCTACCTTGTCCTGGTTGTTACATATGGATATTTAAGGATTGGGGGACTGTAAGAAACGTTTGCCTCCTTAAATCTCTTCTCTTCTTTCCAAATTTTCTTTAATGGATCCATTTCTCCATATGTCTATCTGAAGTAAGAATAAGCTTGTAAAACTGAATATTTCTTCAAGATCCATTTCAAGTTTTAGGTCTTCCACAAAAATGCTCAATCAACTTCAGCACACAGTGTTTCTTCTGGCTTAGGACATTACATAGTAGATTTTGTCTATATCTCAAATTATGTCATTTAGCTCTAGTCTGTATTTTATTGCCTATAAGCTATTTCAGAGTATAAATTATACATTATTATTATTTATGTATTTATTGCTCAAGCATTTTCTTTTTTTCTTTATTTTATTTTATTATTTGAGACAGAGTCCCACTCTCTCACCGAGGCTGGAGTGCACTGGGGCAGTCTTCGCTCACTGCAACCTTTGCCTCCCTGTTCAAGCGATTCTCCTGCCTCAGCCTTCTGAGTAGCTGGGATTACAGGCGTGCACCATCGCACCCGGCTAATTTTTGTATTTTTAGTAGAGATGGGGTTTCACCATGTTGGCCAGGCTGGTCTTGAACTCTTGGTCTCAAGTGATCCTCCCTCCTTGGCCTCCCAAAGTGCTGGGATTACTGGTGTAAGCCACGATGCCCAGCCTGCTCAGGCATTTTCTAGAGGACCTAGTAGACTGGATATACCAGTCATAGAGTTTGGAGAGACAGCTTAATGTAAATGAATGATGGTGGTGTGAGTTTCCCTTTAGATAAGAACTGCCTATTCAGATTAGCCCAAGTCTGAGTTAATGGTCATAGATGCTCTAAATCCCATCCTGTGGTTTTCTGAATCTATCCTGGATTGACCAGTTGCAAAGAGGCAAACCTTGAGGTCAAGATTCAGATTTTACCAATGAACTGTCAAATGTAAATGTTTATTTTTATGCCCATTGAGCGAGGCTGGCTCTAGTGCTAGGTGCCAGGAGATAATGAAATACAGAGAAGAATACATTTACCTCCAAAGCCCAATTTCTCTCTGCACCCTCTCATCAGAAGCCAGGTTTGGAAGGAGGAGTTTGTAAGGACACTTTGTAAGGATGAAGCCCCAGCCTCGGGAATGAGAAAGGAGAAGACTTGCAGAGCCTCTGCCTCAGGAGTGCAGGGGCATCTGGGCTGGGAGCCAAGCTTTGGAATCCTTTGCAGCAGGATCCCTGGCAAACAGTGGCCACATCCCGGCTTGGGACCGAGGACAGCACTTGTGAAGTCACACCAGTTGCATCTAATTTTGGACCGGGAATAAAGAAAATAAAGCATAAAGTGCTGGCCTTTCTGACATTTCCACTGAGGGCCTCCCACTCATTACCTCAGGGGAGGTTTGCAGTGAACATAAGCAGCTTTATCTGATTACTCTCACTGAAAGCCAGGTGTTTTCTTTCCTTAAAAATAACTGTCATTTGAAAGAGACCCATATGCACACCATGGCCGCACCACTGGACATGGGCATAGTGCCCACGGGAGTCACTAAGAAAGTGGAAGATGCATTTCTTCACTTCCCCTGGCCCCAGCTTCCTCATCTGCAAAAAGAAAAACATGTCCATGTATTAGATTTCGGTCACTGCATAAAAAATCATCACAAATGTAGCAGCTTAAAACCACACCCATTTAGAAGCTTACAGCTCTGGAGGTCAGAAGTCCAATCGTGTTGTGATTGTGGCCAAAGTCTCTACTCAGGGTCTCACAAAACCAAAATAGGGATGTCCACCAGACAGCATTGTCATCTCGTTTCAAACGGTTGTGACAAAAGTCAGTTCCTGGTGGTTGCAGGACTGCAGTCCCACTTCCTGGCTGATTGTCAGTGGGGGTCACTTTGGCTTGCCACACGGCCCCCTCCTTCTCCAAAGCCAGGAAAGGAGAATTTTTCATGCATCAAATGCCCCTCATACTTTGAATCTCATGCTCCAAAAGAGTCCTTTCCCATTTAAGGTTCACCCAGTTAGGTCAGACCCACCTACTCTTCTTATTTTAAGGTCAACTAATTTGAGACATTAATTACCTCTGCAAAATATTTTCACAACAGCAGATAGGTTAGTGTTTCAGTAAATGGAAGAAGGTGTGTGCTCACCCGAGGCCTGGATTCTTGCGAGCAATCTCAGAATTGCGCTCACCACAGTCCCTCGTAGACCCAACAGTCTATGGCTCTACGAAACAAGAAAAAGAATTCTCCTCCATTGAAAAGCAGAGAGAAAACTGCTCTCCACTGAAGGTTCAAAACTCAGCCGTAGGTTGTCAGAAAGAGAAAGACAGAAGCAAAAAACGGATGGGCTATGTGAGGTCTTATTTTCAGCCATGTGTTTTTAATATGTTGACAATATTTCTCAGTATTTATTACCAGAAACATCTTTCTATTGGTTATTGATAGATACCACACACAAATGCAGCTGCAGTCAGGTAAGTGTAAGAAATGCAGAATAAAAAAGCTAAATGAGAACAAGACTAAATTCCCTGAGAATTCCTGTAACTATGTGCATTACATCTTCTAAAGGGGGGATAATAATAATGCTATAGTAAAGTGTACCGTTCTTTACATTTTAGTATTTCTGAAGCAGTTTCATGTTTAAGCTGATTTATGCATTGCAGATGTGTGTGTGACTTCATTTATCCCCAAAGGCTGTGTGTTAGGGTTCCTTAGAGGTATAGAACTAATAGGATGTGTATGTGTGTGTGTGTGTATATATATAATATATATATATAATATATATCTCATATATTATATATAATATATATAATATATATCTCATATATTATATATAATATATATAAAATATATCTCATATATTATATATAACATATATAAAATATATATCTCATATATTATATATAAAATATATATCATATATTATATATAATATATATAATATATATCTCATATTTTATATATATTATATAAAATGTATATCTCATATATTTTATATATTATATATAAAATATATATCTCCTATATTATATATAAAATATATATCTCCTATATTATATATAAAATATATATCTCCTATATTATATATAAAATATATATCTCATATATTATATATAAAATATATATCTCATATATTATATATAAAATATATATCTCATATATTATATATAAAATATATATCTCATATATTATATATAAAATATATATCTCATATATTATATATAATATATATCTCATATATTATATATAATATATACATTATATAATATATCATATATACATATTATATATGTATAATATATACATAATATATAATATGTATATATTATATATACATAATAGATAATATATACATATAATATGTATATTATCTATAATAGGGTTCCTTAGAGGTATAGAACTAATAGGATGTGTATGTGTGTATATATAATATATATAAAATATATATCATATATGATATATAATATATGCATTATATAATATAATTACATATATAATTATAATATGTATTATATGTATACATATATACATTATATAATATATAATGTATATATATAATATATAAATATATAATGTATAATATATACATATATAATATACATTATACATATTATATATAATGTATTTTATCACTGCATAAAAAATTATCACAAATGTAGCAGTGTAAAATCCCACTCATTTAGAAACTTACAGCTTGTGAAGTCACACCAGTCACGTCTAATTTTATTGATAGATATCACATAAAATGTAGCTGTAGTCAGGTAAGTGTAAGAAATGCAGAAAAAATACATATATATGAGTTTATTAAGTATAAACTTACATGATCACAAGCTCCCACAATAGGCTGTCTGCAAGCTTAAGGAGCAAGGACAGCCAGTCTGAGTATCAAAACTGAAGGACCTGGAGTCTGAGGTTTGAGGGCAGGAAGCATCCAGCATGGGAGAAAGATGGAGGCTGGGAGGCTAGGTCAGTCTCGCTTTCTCATGTTTTTCTGTCTGCTTTATATTCGCTGGCAGCTGATTAGATTGTGCCCACCAGTGGGCTAGAGAACGCAGAGTGGGTCTGCCTTCTCCAGCCCACTGACTCAAATGTTAATCTCTTTTGACAACACCCTCATAGACACACCCAGCATCAATACTTTGCATCCTTCAATCCAATCAAGTTGACACTCAGTATTAACCATCACAAGCTGCTATTAAATTGAGGACACAACTAACAATTAATGAAGTCAGACCCAACAGGACATAGCACAGCAGCCCAGAAATGAGCAATAGCAAGGCCGCAGCCACCCCTGGGCTGTGGGTGCACAGGGAGGAGACCATGATGACACCCCTCAAGCAGAGTGTGCGTGTCTTGGGAGCTGGGACCTTAGTGGGAGGCTTAGTACCTTAACACTGGGGTCATGGAGGGAGGCACTGCCTGGCCGGAGTGGGAACCTGTGGTAGGAGGAGCCACTGCCAGAGACCCTGCCTGTAACAGAGAGATGGGGATGTTCCCTGGCACGAGTCTCCCACTGGCTGAATCAAGCCAGAAACCAGCTGGCAACAAAACCCAGGAAACCGGGGTTTCAAAGGACAGAACCTTCAAACAGAGAAGAGCGGGGACAGAACAAGGAATGCAAACACACCAGAAAGGCCTGGGACACGTCAGGAAAGGAGGGAAAGCATTTCGGAGTGCTCTCTGCTAAACTTTTCTGTGTGACAGAAAGGATGGGGACACGCAGGGCAGAAGGAAAGGCTGCCTTCCCCTTCGCATGAGTCCACTGTGCAGCCACCCTCCCGGAAACCGCAGCGCGGTCCACTCAGTGGATGAGAGCACTGTCCACAAGCGCCACACATCTATCAAACCCAAAAGGTGAAGGGAGATTGGAGGGCAAAGCCATGGACTGATGAATCTACTCCCTACACATGGGGAGTAGATTAGGATGCTAAAGGATGGGTTTTGGGGGCAGTCAGAACAAACCTCAGGGGGACAAAGATAGCCACGCTAAGGCGAGTGTAAAAGCCAGCAGCAGCTTTCCCTGCAGACATGGTTCAGGAAGCAGAAAGAACACCAACCAGGCACGCGGCAGGGATCCACCCGGTAGCAGGAAGGCTTGGGAGGTTCAGAGGACGAATCCAACTGAACAGGCAGTCACACCGAGGACCATCAATTTTGGCTCAGCCATGTGGAGTTAGGTCACCGGGCACTAAAACCAGGCGTGGGCACAGAAAGGGCTTCAGGATGATAAGCAGAGGCCAGGGCAGCCCTGGGTCCTACAGAGTCAGAGCAAGTGGCCAGCCAGTTTCCCAAGCCATTGGCTCTGCAGAGACCTGCCAGGAGTGGGTAGACTAATGCGTAAGAACTTGGGCCAGAGTCAGGAGACAAGGTGAGAATCCAGCACCAGGCCCCTCAAGCAGAAGACGCAGCAGGCCCTGCAAGGCTGACTCAGAGATCAGCTGCAGAAGGCCTGGTGGATCCTGGGTTCCTTACGATGCTCTGTGCTCTGCTCCAGGCCACGATCATAAACTCCAGAGGCCAAGTTTTCAAATAGGCCCAGGGGTAGCAGTTAAGCACGCACTATTGCCAGGGTTAGAGGATACAGACACAAGGGACAGGGCTATGGGACCTTAGGCAAGAGGCCACACATCTCGATCTCATTTGTAAAATGAAGGTGTTGGATATCTGGACTGTTTGGAAAGATTATTTCTAAGATCAGTTCAGCCCCAAGATGGGCATTGTTTTGTAGCAGTAGTGGCTAACTGGAATTATATGCACTGTTAGTGGCCGGTGTTTTTTGTCAGGAGCCAGACTTGTCAAGTGTCGTCATTGCAGTTGTCAAATTCTTCCTCCATTATTCCAACTCAGACTTCAAACGGCACCTTCTGTTGAGTGTAGCTGGCCTCTGCCTTCTTGCTTCACCAAACACGTTATCTGCATGGAGATCTACTCATAAATGTAAATAAGGAAAGAAGCACCAGCTATATCTCTATACATAATTCATTTGCGCAATAATGGAATGAAAAGCACATAATATTTCACCATTAAAGCTTTATGCGATGATGGTGAATAGGCATTTCTGATTTTAAAAAATACATTCTCATAATTTAAATAGCTTTTTAAAATTAATAATTGCTTGAAGCACTTGGAAGGATGCCTGATAAATAATTCTCAATTTTTCTTTTATTTTTAATAAACCCAACTATTCAATTGAAAAATTAATAAGAAGAAACATTAGACTATGTAATGAAGTTTAATTTGGAGATTATTTCTTAATCCCATTGTACTGGAACAACATTATAGGTGGTTCATATCATCAGCAGATTACTTCTTGCAGGGTTTAAGATGAATACCCATAAACATTTTGTAACAACCTTCCAGGAAATTCTCTCTGCTTTCAGCAGAAATGAAACAATGACAAATTAAATATATTAACGTGGAAATGTTTGGCTTCCCAAACAGTGTACAAGCATACTTCAGGGATATTGCAGGTTCAGTTCCTGACCACCACACTACAGTGAATATTGCAATAAGGCAAGTCACGTGCATTTCTTGGTTTCCAATGTATATAAAAGTTATGTTTACATTATACTTTAGTCTATTAAGTTTGCAATAGCATTATGTCTAAAACACAATGTGTACACCTTAATTTTAAAATAATTTCTTGCTAAAAATGCTATTAGCTGAGACTTCAGAGAGTTGTAATCTTTTTTCTGGTGGAGGGTCTTGCTCAATGTTGATGGCTGCTGACTGATCAGGGTGGTGGGGTGGGGTGACCGTGGCAATTTTAAAAAATAAGACAAAAGTCCAGGCATGGTGGCTCACGCCTGTAATCCCAGCATTTTGGGAGGCTGAGACAGGTGGATCAGTTGAAGTCAGGAATTCGAGACCAGCCTGGCCAACATGGTGAAACCCCATCTCAACTAAAAATACAAAAATTAGCCGGATGTGGTGGTGGGTGCCTGTAATCCCAGCTATGCAGGAGGCTGAGGCACGAGAGTCACTTGAACCCTGGGAGGCAGAGGTTGCAGTGAGCCAAGATCGTACCACTGCACTCCAGCCTGGGTGACAGAGCAAGACTCAGCCTCAAAAAAAAAAAAAAAAAAAAAAAAAAGACAGCAACGTAGCTTGCCACATTGATTGATTTTTACACTTTCGTGAAAGATTTCTCTGCAGCACGTGATGCTGTCTGATAGCATTTTACTCACAGTAGAACTTATTTTGAAATTGAAGTCAATCCTCTCAAACCCTGCCACTGCTTTATCAACTAAGTTAATATAATATTCTAAATCCCGTGTTGTCATTTCCACAATGTTCCCAGAATCTTCACCAGGAGTAGATTCCATCTCAGGGAGCCACTTTCTTTGCTTCTTCCTAAGAAGCAACTTCTCATCCATTCAAGTTTTATCATGACATTGCAACAATTCAATCACATCTTCAGGCTCCACTTCTCATTCTAATTCTCTTGCCATTTCCATCACATCTGCAGTTATTTCCTTTACCGACGTCTTGAACCCCTCAAACATGAGTGTTGGACCACTCATACATGAGTGTTGGAATCAACTTCTTCCAAGCTCCTGGTAATGCTGGGTTTTTTTAAACCTCTTCCCATGAATTACAAATGTTCCTAATTGCACCTAGAAATCTTTTCCAGAAGGTTTCCAATTTACTTTGCCCAACCAGATCCATGGAGGAATCACTATCTATGGCAGCTATAGCCTTATGAAATATACTTCTCAAATAATAAGACTTGAAAGTCAAAATCAGTACCATGCTGTTTTGGTTATTGTAGCCTTATAAGTATAGTTTGAAGTCCAGTAGTGTGATGCCTCCAACTTTGTTCTTTTTCTTTAGGATTGTCTGTGCTACACGGGCTCTTTCTTGTTTCATATGAATTTTAAAACAGGCTTTTTCTAATTCTGTGAAAAATGTCAATGGTAGTTTAATGGGAATAGCATTGAATCTATTACTTTGGGTAGTATGGCCATTTTCATGATATTAATTCTTCCTCTCCATGAGCATGGAATATTTTTCCATTTGTTTATGTCCTCTTTGGTTTCCCTGAGCAGTGGTTTACAGTTCTCCTTAAAGAGGTCATTTACGTCCCTTGTTAGCTGTATTCCTAGACATTTTATTATCTTTGTAGCAATTGTGAATGGCAGTTCATTCATGATTTGGCTCTCTGCTTGCCTGTTGTTGGTGTGTAGAAATTCTTGTGTCTTCTGCACATTGATTTTGTATCCTGAGACTTTGCTGAAGTTGCTTATCAGCTTAAGAAGCTTTGGGGGCCAGAACAATGGTGTTTTCCAGACATATAATCATGTCATCTGCAAACAAAGACATTTTGACTTCCTTCCTTACTATTTGAACACTCTTTATTTAGTTCTCTTCCCTGATTGCCTTGGCCAGAACTTCCAATATTACATTGAATAGGAGAGGTGAGAGAATCCTTGTCTTGTGCCAGTTTTCAAGGGGAATGCTTCCAGCTTTTGCCCATTCAGTATGATAATGGCTGTGGGTTTGTCATAAATGGCTCTTATTATTTGAGGCATGTTCCTGGTATGAAAAAAGACACATATACCAATGGAACAGAATAGAAATTAGATCATACATCTACAACCATCTGATCTTTGACAAACCTGACAAAAACAAGCAATGGGTAAATGATTTCCTATTTGATACACAGTGCTCTGAGAACTGGTTATCCATTTGCAGAAAATTAAAACTGGACCCCTTCCTCACACCTTATACAAAAATGAAGTCAAGATAGATCACAGACTTAAATGTAAAAGCCAAAACTATAAAAACCTTAGAAGAAAATCTAGGTAATAGCATTCAAGACATAGGCATGGGCAAAGATTTAATGATGAAACCACCAAAAGCAATTGCAACAAAAGTAAAAATTGATAAGTGGTATCTAATTAAACTAAAGAGCTTCTACACAGCAAAACAAACTATTGTCAGAGTGAACAGGCAATCTGCAGAGTGGGAGAACATTTTTGCAACCTATTCCATCTGACAAAGAACTGATATCCAGAATCTGCAAGGAAATAAAACAAATTTACAAGAAACAAACAACCCCACCAAAAAGTGGGCAAAGGATATGAACAGACACTTCTGAAAAGAACACATTCATGCAGCCTACAAACATATGAAGAAAAACCTCAACATCATTGATCATTAGAGAAATGCAAATCAAAACCACAATGAGATACCATTTTACACCAGTCAGGATAGCGATTATTAAAAAGTCAAGAAACAACAGATCCTGGCAAGGTTGTGGAGAAATAGGAACACTTTTACACTGTTGATGGGAATGTAAATTAGTTCAACCATTGTGGAAGACAGTGTGGTGATTTCTCAAAGACCTAAAACCAGAAATACCATTTGACCCAGCAATCCCATTACTGGGTATATACCCAAAGGAATATAAGTCATTTTATTACAAAGATACATGCACACGTATGTTCATTGCAGCACTATTTACAATAGCAAGGACATGGAATCAACCCAAATGCCCATCAACTATAGACTGGATAAAGAAAATGTGGCACATATACACCATGGAATACTATGCAGCCATGAAAATAAATGAGATCATTTCCTTTGCAGGGACATGGATGGAGCTGGAAGCCATTATCCTCAGAAATCTAAGGCAGGAACAGAAAATCAAACACTGAATATTCTCACTTATAAGTGACAGGTGAACAATGAGAACACATGGGCACAGAGAGGGGAACAAAACACACTGATGCCAGTCTGGGGGTGGACAGGGGGAGGGAGAGTATTGGGAAAAATAACTAATGCATGCTGGGCTTAATACCTAGGTGATGGGTTGATAGGTACAGCAAACCACCATGGCACACGTCTACCTATGTAACAAACCTGCACATCCTGTATATGTACCCCAGAACTAAAGATTTAAAAAAAAAAGAAAGTCAAAAATCACTCTGTGATCCATGGACTGCAGAGTAGATGTTGTGTTAGCAGGCATGAAAACAATATTCATCTCCAGCGGAGTTCTTGGCTGACTAGGTCTATCGTCAATGAGCAGTATATTTTTAAAGGAAACTTTTCTTCTAAGCAGTAGGTCTCACCAGTGGGCTTAAAATATTCAGTAAATTATGTTGTAAACGAATGTGCTCTCATTTAGGTTTTGTTGTTTCATTTCTAGAGCACAGGCAGTGTTAATTTAGCATAATTTTAAGGGTCCTAGGATTCTTGAAATAGCACATGAGCATTGGCTTTAACTTAAAGTAACCAGCTACATTATCTCCTGACAAGAGAGTCCGCCTGCCTTTTAAAGCTTTGAAGCCAGGCCTTGACTTCTCTCTAGCTAGGAAAGTTCTAGACAGCATATTTTTCCAGTAGAAGGCTGTTTTATTGACATTCAAAATGTATTGTTTAGTGCAGCCACCTTCATCAGTGATTGTAGCTAGATCTTCTGGATAACTTGCTGCAGCTGCTCCATCAGCACTTGCTGCCTCACCTTCCACTTTTATGTTCTGGAGATGGCTTTTTTCCTTAAACCTCATGAACCAACCCTATGTTACCTTCCAACTTTTCTTCTACACCCCCCTCACCTCTCTCAGCCTCCACAGAATTGAAGAGAGTTAGGGATTTGTTCTAGATTAAGTTTTGGCTTAAGAGGATGTTATGGCTAGTTTGATCTTTTATCTAGACACTAAAATTGTCTCCCTATCAGCAAGAAAGCTATTTCACTTTCTCATCACTCGTGTGTTCACTGGAGTAGCACTTTTTAAATTCCCTTCAAGACATATTCCTTTGCATTCACAACTTGGCTAGCTGTTTGCTGCAAGAGATCTAGCTTTTGGTCCATCTCAGCTTTCTACATGCCTTCCTCACTAAGCTTTATCATCCTAGCTTTTGGTCCATCTCAGCTTTCTACTTGCCTTCCTCACTAAGCTTTATCATCCTAGCTTTTGATTTAAAGTGAGATATGTGACTCTTCCTTTTACTTGGAACACTTAGTGACCACTGGAGGGTTATTAATTGCCCTAATTTCAATATTATTGTGTCTCAGGGAACAGGGAGGCCCAAGGAGAGGAAGAGAGACAGGAAATGGCTGGTCAGTGGAGCAGTGAGAACATACACAGCATTTATGGATTACGTTTGCCATCATATATTGGCACGGCATGTGAAGCCTCAAAAGAATCACAATAGTAACTTCAAGAGTGACTGATTGCAGATCCCCATAACAGATATAATAATAATGAAAAGGTCTGAAATATTGTGAGAATTACCTAATTGTGACACACAGACATGAAATGAGCACACACTGTTGGAAAAGTGGCTCCAGTAGACTTGCTCCATGCAGCGTTGCCACAAACCTCCAATGTGTAAAATTGCAGCATTTGTGAAGTGCAGTACAGCGAGGCTCAATACAGTGAGGTGTGCCCATGTGCCTCCTCATCTACACCACTTAAAATCCCTGGGAAGTAGGAAAGAACATCTCACCATTTATAGCACAGACCCCTTTCATCTACCCACTATTCACCTCACAGTCGAAGAAGCTGAATATTCAAAAGATCTTTTCAGTGCCTTCTGCAGGGTTCTGTTATGGGGTAAGGACGGAGGTTGTTCTGGAGTTCAGTCTAGTGAGCCTCATCACACTTACTGTTGTCTGAATACGGGTGTCCCCCTGAAATTCATATGTTGAAATCCGAAGCCCTCGGGTGATGAGGTTAGATGGGGCCTTCAGGAGGTGCTTAGGCCATGAGGGTGGAGTCCTTGTGAATGAGATTGGTGCCCTGATAAAAGAGACGTGGGAGAGCTGTTTGCCCTTTCAATTGAGTGAGGATGTAGTGAGAAGGCACCATCTATGAACCAGAAAGTGGGCCCTCACCACACACCAAATATGCCTGATCTTGGACTTCCCAGCCTCCAGAAATTTAAGAAATAAATTTCTGTTGTTTATTAGCCATGCAGTCTATGGTATTTTGTGATAGCAGCCCCAATGAACTGAGGCAACACCTTACACCTCTTCTGGTGCCTTTAGAAACTTGCACCCTTTAGAGATCTCCATCAAATTCATGAGACTAAGCCATCTTCAAGGTCCCTAGCTTGTCCCCTGGAGAATGGATTCAATTAGCCCCATTCAGAGTCAGTCATGTCAACTTAAGGACACCCTCTAACTGACTGCTGCTTTTTCCCTGACCTGAAGCTTAACATGCAAAGGAATCCACAGAAAACACACTCTGACTCCAGATGATCGCCAGTGGGGTCCAACATCTGTACCAATTTTTTTTAAAGCAGCCTGATTCTACTTTGGACAAGCCATTTAAATGAGGGTCTGGTCCCCTGGCAAAGACATGATCTGAGCTACATGGAGTGTTTCTAGGAGAGTGAAGTATGCCTACCTGTGCCCCTCCACAGCTCCTCTGCTCTCCAAGGTCACCAGCCCATCACTTGCCACCAATGCTGATCAGCTCACCCCAGAAATATAAATTCCCTCTGATTTCTATGGAATGAAGGAGCAGTGGTGATTTCAGAAACGATTCTTTTTATTGCCTTTTGATATTCATTTTTTGTCTGAAATCACTCAAAAGCCCATGGTTATAATTAGCCAAGGTCAAGGAGCATCAGATATACAAGCAAGGTCCAAGCTACTAATCACTCTAGCAGTTTTCAGTGCAAGGGCCTCTGCCCAATAATTCTTGGTTTCCTCTGCTTCCTGGCATGTCCTTTGGCACCAGAAGATATTTTAAAAAGCTGGACTGCAACTTTCTATCAGTTTCTAGATCTGTTCCTGCTGCTGGTGAAGCTGCTTCCAATTAACCAGTGTTTCAATTCTTAGAAACACAGAGATGAGGCAGATGCAGGGCGCCAGAAATGAGAGTGCTTGGAAATGGAAGGAATGTTGATGTGGTGAACTCAGAGACGCACAGGGCAGATTCTCATACAATATGTCCTAGCATGGCCCCTCACAGTGCCTGGAAGGAATACCATTTGCATTTTAAAAATTATGAATGATTTCAAGCATGCTGAGTGTATTAGTACATTCTCACACTGCTAATAAAGACATACCTGAGATTAGATAATTTATAAAGGAAAGAGTTTTAATTGACTCATAGTTCCACAGGGCTGGGGTGGCCTCAGGAGACTTATGAACATGGCAGAAAGGAAAGCAAACACGTCCCTCTTGTGTGAAGGGCAGCAGCAAGGAGAAGTTCAGAGCAAAGTGGGGAAAACCCCTTATAAAACCATTAGATCTCATGAGAACTTACTATCATGAGAACAGCATGGGGGGACTGCCCCCGTGATCTAATCACCTCCCAGGAGGTCACTTCCCCAACACATGGGATTATAATTAGTATTACAATTCAAGATGAGATTGGGTTGGGACACAGAGCCAGACCACATCATTCTGCTCCTGGCCCTGCCCTAATCTCATATTTCTCATATTTCAAAACACAACTATGACTTCCCAACAGTTCCCTAAAGTCTTAACTCATTTCAGCATTAACCCAAATTCCAAGTCCATAGTCTTATCTGAGACAAGGCAAGTCCTTTCTGCCTATGAGCCTGTAAAATCAAAAGCAAGTTAGTTACTTCCTAGATACAATCGTGGTTCAGGAATGGGGTAAATACACCCATTCCAAATGGAAGAAATTGGTCAAAACAAAGGGGCTATATGCCCCATGAAAGTCCAAAATACAATAGGGCAGTCATTAAACCTTAAAACTCCAAAGTGATCTCCTTTGGCTCCATGTCTCACATCCAGGTCATGCTGATGTAAGAAGTGGGCTCCCATGGCTTTGGGCCGCTCCATCCTTGTGGCTTTTCAGGGGACAGCACCCCTCCCAGCTGCTTTCATGGGCTGGCATTGAGTGTCTGTGGCTTTTCCAGGTGCACGGTGCAAGCTGTCAGTGGATCTACCATTCTGGGGTCTGGAGGATGATGGCCCTCTTCTCACAGTTCTACTAGGCAGTGCCCCAGTGGGGACTCTGTTTGGGGGCTCCCATGCTGCATTTTCCTTCCACACTGCCCTAACAGAGGTTCTCCATGCAGGCTCCACCCCTGCAGCAGGCGTCTGCCTGGATATCCAGGCATTTGCATACATCCTCTGAAATCTAGGTGGAGGTTCCCCAACCTCAGTTCTTGAATTCTGTGCACCCACAGGCCCAACACCACATTTAAGCCACCAAGGGTTGGGGCTTGCACCCTCCAAAGTAATGGCCTCAGCTGTACCATGGCCCTTTTTAACCATGGTTGGAGCTGAAGCATCTGGGACACAGGGCACCATGTCCTGAGGCTGCATAGAGCAGGGGGACCCTGATCCCAGCCCATGAAACCATTTTTCCCTCAGCCCTCTGTGCCTGTGATAGGAGGGGCTGCTGTGTAGGTCTCTGACATGCCCTGGAGGCATTTTCCTCATTGTTTAGGTGATTAATATTAGGCTTTTGGTTACTTATGCAAATTTCTACAGCAGGCTTGACTTTCTCCCCAGAAAACGGGTTCTTCTTTTCTATTGCATAGTCAGGCTGCAAATTTTCTTCTCTTTTTTTCTGTCTTTTTTTTTTTTTATCAGATGGAGACTTGCTCTTTGACCTTGCTGGAGTGCAGTGGTGTGATCTTGCCTCACTGCAACATCTGACTCCCTAGTTTAAATGATTCTCCTTCCTCAGCCTCCTGAGTAGCTGGGATTACAGGCATGCACCACCACACCCAGCTAATTTTTGTATTTTTAGTAGAGACACGGTTTCACCGTGTTGGCCAGGATGGTCTTGATCTCCTGACCTCATGATCCGCCTCCCTTGGCCTCCCAAAGTGCTGGGATTACAGGCGTGAGCTACCGCACCTGGCCCAGGCTGCAAATTTTCTAAACATTTATGCTCTGCTTCCTCTTGAACACTTTGCCACTTAGAAATTTCTTTCACCAGATACCCTAAATCTTCTCTCTCAAGTTCAAAGTCCTACAGATCTCTAGGGCAGGGGCAAAATGCCACCAGTCCCTTTGCTAAAGCATAGCAAGAGTCACCTTCATTTCCATTCCCAACAAGTTCCTCATCTCCATCTGAGACCAACTCAGCCTGGACTTCATTGTCCATATCATGATCAGCATTTTGGTCAAAGCCATTCAGTAAGTCTCTAGGGAATATCAAATTTTTCCACATCTTCCTGTCTTCTCCTGAGCCCTCCAAACTGTTCCAACCTCTTCCTGTTACCCAGTTCCAAAGTCACTTTCACATTTTTGGCTATCTTTACAGCTGCACACCACTACCTGGTACCAATTTACTGTATTAGTCCATTCTCATACTGCTAATAAGGAATTACCCAAGACTGGGTAATTTATAAAGGAAAGAGGTTTAACTGACTCACAGTTCTGCAGGGCTGGGGAGGCCTCAGGAAACTTTACAATCATGGCAGAAGGGAAAGCAAACATATTCTTCTTCACAGGGCAGCAGGAAGGAGAAATGCACAGTGAAGGGGAGAAAACCCCTTATAAAACCATCAGATCTCATGAGAACTCACTCACTATCACTAGAACAGCATGGGGGGACCCCCCATAGTGATCTAATCACCTCCTGCAAGTTCCTTCCCACAACACGTGGGGATTACAATTCGGATCACAATTCAAGATGATATTTGGATGGGGACATAGAGCCAGACCCTATCACTGAGGATAATCGAAGAAGTTTCCATCCTGTGCCTACGCTGTACTATGATGTGGTGGACACTTCTGCAAGACTTGGCCCACAGCTCCGGCAACCATCACAGTTATGCTGAGAGAAGGGATTTACCATATGACTTTTAAACATGCGACAACACAGTCAACTCAGCCTTTGGGTTACTACTTAAAGATTCCTCTGATTTTAACTGATTTTAATTACTTGAAATGGATATAACTAATTAAACACATTAACTAAACATCCTCAAATAGCAGTTAGGGAGGGAAGAAAATACATACATATATACATATGCCTATTGACCTGAGTAAAGATATGCATTTTATACTGTGACCTCATGCACATGTGCATACACACATACACGACACAGACACACATGCACATGATACAAGACTTACTCTTACTAATCACCTTGTTTTCTAATGCTCTCTAGTCTTCACTATTCTATTTCATATTTTAAAAATCTTATGGGGAACTATGAATTGATTTCACAACCCACTAATGAATAGTATCTCATAGTTTGAAAAACTGTGATTTAGTTGATCCCTACTACCTGTTACAGATCAGATCGAATGAGCAAAGGCAACTAGAGAGGTGTTTGATATGAAGATGAAGGGGGGAAAAAACATCTCCAAAGAATTTGGATGTCTGTTCACTCTGATGATAGTTTCTTTTGCTGTGCAGAAGCTCTTTAGTTTAATTAGATCCCATTGTCAATTTTTGCTTTTGTTGCAATTGAAAAAGCCTTTTTCAAACACAGGATGGCACAAGGAAAAAGCCCTGCTAACAAGACGCCATCTCCTCCAACAGGGGATGAGGCATGTACTTGATGACACACCTAATATTAATCAAAGGAAAACAGAGCCGAAGTGGGTATAGTGTTCTCATCAAGCACATGTCTACAGGTTCTTTTGAATTAGGAAGGACGGATTGGTGTCATCATTGGAATCAACTGACTCCAGTTGATTAAAAGGCATTGAGCCTTCAGGTCATACTGCAGAGGTCCCTATTTCCGATGTCATCATTAGTCTTTCTTAAGGAAGAATGGAATCCTAAAACCGAATCTGGTTACAAAGAACAAATATAATCAATGCACCACGTAATTCAACAGTTGTTCGTCGAGGGCCTTCTGTGTGCTTGGCATTGCTTAGCTATCATGGGGCATTTTAGATGAAACCCAAGACACCAAATGTCTCTACCACTACCAGGTGAGATAGAAAAGAAGAGTGCTCTGAAGTTGACTGAACCTCAATTCTTGCACTTACAGAGTTAGTACAAAAGGGTTGTTTAGTTTTATATTTGTTTCTAGTATGCATCAATCTGAGAATTTTCCATTTATTTAGCCACTTATTTATTCAGAAAATATTTTTTGAAGATGTTCTAACTGTCAAACACTGTGCTAAGTAGTGGGATAAAATGGTGAACGAAAATAGAGTCTGTCTGCTTATGTCTAGCACAGAAGAGAAACATTATTAAAATTGGAAAATTACTAATGTGAAAATGCTATACAGGAAATACAAGAGATACATGGTGCTATGGGAACAAGAGAAAGAAAACTTCCTTGAGAAACGGCACTGGATTCTAAAATGAAATAATGAGTTGAAGTAAATTAAGAATGGGAGAGAGAATATTCCAGGCAGTATATGCAAAGGCTCTGTAAGAAGAGGAAGCATAGTGAGTTTGAGGAACCACACTGGCCTTCTTTTGGTTTGAGGAGAGTGCTAGAAAATTTGAAAAAAATATATTAGATAGGGGAAAATATAGGGGCCATATTATGTTGAGTTTATTGGCTATGTTAAGGGTTTTTTTCTTTCTTTCTTTCTTTCTTTCTTTCTTTCTTTCTTTCTTTCTTTCTTTCTTTCTTTGTTCAAAGACCATTGGTATGCTCTTAACTGGCTTAAAACATCTTATTTAGTTTTCAGAAAGTTCACTCTGACAACAATTTCAGAATGTTTTTAGGGAAGCATAGACTGATTATATGGGGGAACTCAGATTTATGCAAGTGAGAAATAATATCTTCTAAGGAGGCTGCGGTGCAGATAGAAGTACTCTAGACAAAGTTAAGAAGTATAGAATCAGTTGGTGAATGTTTTGTGTGAGCTAGGGGACTCAGTTATTTCCTTCTTTTTCCTTTCTTCCTTCCTTCCTTCCTTCTTTGCTTTCTGATTTTTTTTTTTTTTGTATATGGAGGTACAATTGCATTCATTGAAAATATCTTCTATTTTTTATGCATTGAATAATGAATGCATCATTGTCAAAAGTCAATTACCCAAAAAGATGAGAACTTACTTCTAGACTTATCATTTTGTTCTATTGATCTCTGTGTGTATTTTTGCACCAATGCTACATGTCTTAATAACTGCAGCTTTTTTCTGTAATAACTGTAGCTTTATTAATATCATGTTGTGGAGGCCCTAACACTGCTTGTTTACAAAATTATTTTGGCCACCCCAGGTCATTGTATTTTGATACAAATTTTAAGATAAGCTTGTCAGTTTCCACAAAAACAACTAAAAGAAATTTGATAACAATTGCACTGAGTCTATAGGACAATATTGGAAAAATGTTCATTAACAAATTGAGTCTTTCAATCTTTGAACGCAATCATCTCTCCATTTATTTGTATTTTTATTTTCTCTCAACAGTGTTTTTTAGTTTCAGTGTTCAGTTCTTACCTCACAATTTTATTTTTGATGCTATTGTAAATGGAATTTTTTCCTTATTTGCATTATTTGGCTGTGTGTTGCTAGCCTATAAAAATGTAATTAATTCAATATATTGATCTTGCATCCTACAACCTTGCTAAATGTGCATATCAGATCTTTTTTGCAGATTGCATTGGATTTTCTGCAAACAAGATTATTTCATCTACAAAGATTATTTGTCTAGATTATTTCAAAGACAATATTATGACTTTAATTATTATAATTGCCTTGGAACTTCTTGCACCAGCCCAGTACAGAATTGTCCGCATCTCCTAGTAAGGGGACAACACCAAGTCTTTCAACATCATGTGTGATATTAACTGACATTTTTTTCTTTTTTTCCACAGATGCCCTTTTTCAGGCTAAATTCTCTTCCATTTCTACATTGATGAGAACTTGTATGTGTTTTAAAATCATAAATGAATGTTGAATTGTATCAAATGTTTGTTCTATGTCTCTGAAATAATTATTTGATAATTTGGTGTGTTGCATTAATTGACTTTCAAATGTTAATGAAACTTGCATTCTGAGAATATATTACACAAGGTCATAATGTATAATCTTATTCTGATACTGCCAGATTTGATTTGTTAATATTTTATTAGAGATTTTTGTGTCTACGTCCATAAAGGATACTGAAATAACATTTTATTTTCTTGAGATGTTTGTCTGGCTTGGTATCAGTGCAACACTGGCCTCATAGAAATAGCTAGGAAGTGTTTCCTCCCTTAGTTTTTGAAAGGTCTTTGTACGATTGATATTATTTATTCCAGAGTTGTCCAATAGAAATAATAAATGAAGCCCTCCAAAGTTGGACTTTTCTTTATGAAGTAGTTTGAAATTACTGATGCAATTTATTTACTTGTTACAGGTCTATTTGAGTTTTCTATTTCTCCTTAAGTCAGTTTTGATTACTTGTGTCTTTTCATGAAATTGTCCATTTCATCTAAATTTTTAAGTGTTTTTGCATAAAGTTACTCATCATAATCCCCTAATATCCTGTTAATTTCTGCAGTCTGAGAGACATTGCTATCTTATTACTCATTTTAGTAATTTGTATCTTTCTTCTGTTTTTAGTAGGTCTTGCTAAAAGCATAAAAGAGGACTTCAAATAATACAGAAATAATGGATTAAAGATCAACCATAGGACTGAGATAGAACACCTGAAAAACATCTCACACGCACTCCAAGCTATAATCAAGACCTTATTGGAAAGGGCAAACGCAAAGCTTACTGGATGAATGAGAAGCTGCTGAGATTACTTGCTTAAATATGTCATTTGGGTTGCCAGAGAAAGCCACCTACAGGGATGTTCAGCACATTAGAGCTTGCAGTCTATTGATAGAGTTCTAAGAGAGGCTATTTATTGGTAGATGTCTTGCTGGTGGAACTCCACTGTAAATCATCTGGAGGAGATGCTAGTAGAAGTTGTTGGCTGTTGGAAGCTTCTGGCCACCACAGAATCTGAAACTAGAACCTGGGGAAGTAATCTTCTGAAGGAGTCAGATGTAGGAAAAATCAGACCCTGCAGAACTAGATATGGAGGAAACTTTACCCTGGAGGAGTTTAGCACAGGAAAACAACAAGCTTTGTAAAAGCTGAATCCTAGAGAAAACTGCACCCTGCAGCAGTGTACCACAAGAAAAACATCAAGTGTTCAGGGCTCTAGAACTAGATAAAATCTTCTTTGCAGGATACTAGCAAATGGGACATACTGGAAAAAGAAATATAAGAGCCATGTCTCCCCAGCATCCTTTACTGACAACCTTAACATTGGCCAACTGGCAGTGGTGAAATAGTAACAAAGCCCACCTCCATTATCACAGAGCTCAACAAAGATGGCTGTGAGCTCCTATGCAATACATTGAAAACTAACACACAAGACATTTTGAAATGTTTGTTTTTATTTTCATTCAACTAATTTTCTAGTTTTCTGGTTTTTTCTTGACTAATATATTATTTGAAAGTGTGAATTGGAGTGGTGAGAGAGGGCATCCTTGCTTTGTGTCAGTTTCCAAGGGGAATGCTTTCAGCTTTTGCCCATTCAGTACAATATTGGCTGTGGGTTTATCATATATTCAACATAGTATTGGAAGTTCTGGCCAGGGCAATCAGGTAAAAGAAAGAAATAAAGGGTATTTAAATAGGAAGAGAGGAAGTCAAATTATCTTTGTTTGCAGGTACATGATCCTATATGTAGAAAACCCCATTGTCTCAGCCCAAAAGCTTCTTAAGCTGATAAGCAACTTCAACAAAGTTTCAGGATACAAAATCAATGTGCAAACATCACTAGCATTCCTATACACCAACAGGCATGCAGAGAGCCAAATCATGAATGAACTACTATTCATAATTGCTACAAAGAGAATAAAATACCCAGGAATACAGCTAACAAGGGAAGGGAAGGACCTCTTCAAGGAGAACTACAAACCACTGCTCAAGGAAATCAGAGAGGACACAAACAAATGGAAAAACATTCCATGCTCATGAATAGGAAGAGTCAATGTCATGAAAATGGCCGTACTGCCCTAAGTAATTTATAGATTCAATGCTATTCCCTTTAAACTACCATTGACATTCTTCACAGAATTAGAAAAAACGATTTTAAAATTCATAGGGAACCAAAATAGAGCCTATACAGCTAAGACAACCTAAGCAAAAAGAAGAAAGCTGGAGGCGTCACGCTACCTGACTTTACACTCTACAAGGCTACAGTAACCGAAACAGCATGGTACTGGTACAAAAACAGACCCGAAGACCAGTGGAGCAGAATAGAGAACTCATAAATAAGACCACACATCTACAACCATCTGATCTTCGACAAACCTGACAAAAACAAGCAATGGAGAATGGATTCCCTATTCAATAAACTGGTTAGCCATATGCAGAAAATTGAAACTGGACCTCTTTCTTACATCTTATACAAAAATTAACTCAAGATGGATTAAAGACTAAAGCGTAAAACCCGAAACTATACAAACCCCAGAAGAAAATCTAGACAACACCATTCAGGACCACAGGCACAGGCAAAGATTTTATGACAAAATACCAAAAGCAATTACAACAAAAGCAAAAGTTGACAAATGGGACCTAATTAAACTAAAGAGCTTCTTCTGCACAGCAAAAGAAACTATCATCAGAGCGAACAGACAACCTACAGAAAGGGAGAAATTTTTTGCAATCTATCCATCTGACAAAGGTCTAATATCTAGAATCTACTAGTAACTTAAACAAATTTACAAGAAAAAAAAAACACCCTTATTAAAAAATGGTCCAAGGACATGAACAGACACTTCTTGAAAGAACACATTCATGTAGCCAACAAACATATGAAAAAAAGCTCAACATCCCTGATCATTAGAGAAATGCAAATAAAAACAACAATGAGATACCATTTTATACCAGTCAGAATGGTGATTATTAAAAATTCAAGAAACAACAGATGCTGGTGAGGTTGTAGAGAGAAAGGAAAACTTTTACACCATTGTTGGGAATATAAATTAGTTCAATCATTATGGAAGACAGTGTGGAGATTCCTCAAAGATCTAGAAGCACAAATACTATTTAACCTAGCAATCCCATTACTGGGTATATACTCAAAGGAATATAAATTCTTTTATTATAAAGATACATGCACACATATGTTTTTGCAGCACTATTCACAATAGCAAAGACATGGAATCAACCCAAATGCCCATCAATGATAGACTGGATAAAGAAAATGTGGTACATATACACCATGAAATACTATGCAGCCATGAAAACGAATGAGATCATGGCCTTTTCAGGATGTGGATGGAGCTGGAAGCCATTATCCTTAGCAAACTAATGCAGGAACAGAAAACCAAACACTACATGTTCTCACTTACAAGTGGGAGCTGAACAATGAGAACATATGGACATAGGGAGAGGAACAACACACACTGGGGCCTGTCAGTGGCATACAGGAAGCGAGAGCATGAGGAAGAACAGCTAATGGGTCTTGGGCTTAATATGTAGGCGATTGGTTGATCTGTGCAGCAAACCACCATGGTACACGTTTATCTGTGTAACAAGCCTGCACATCCTGCACATGTAACGAAACTTAAAAGTTGATTTAAAAAATTTAAACAAAGCCTGCGTGTTTTTAAATTTTCAAATATTTGGGGATATTTCAAATTTATTTTTGTTATTGATTTTTAAATTATCTTGTGGCTAGAAAGCATACCCTGTATGGTTTTTACTAAAGTTTTTGAGAGATTTTTTATCGTCTAGAACAGTGAATAGAGTATATCCTCAAGAAGCTCCATGTTAGTATTAAGTCAAGTTGACTGACAGTGTTGTTCAAGCCTTCTATGTCCTTATTAATTATTTGTCTAGTTGTTTTATGCATTACTGAATGTGAAAATTTGGAGTATCCAATCTCCAACTTAAATTGTTTGTCTGCATTTCTTTTCCTATCTGTCAGTTTTTACTTCATGTATTTTAGAACTTTGTTGTTAGATGTTTATACCTTAATTTTTTATTTTAAAAATATTATTATTGACATATTGGTTCATATTTGTGGGGTACATGTAATATTTTGTTACATGTATAGCATGTAATGCTCAAGTCAGGGTATGTAGGGCCTCCATTACCTCAAGTATTTATTATTTCTATGTGTTGGGACCATTTCAAGTCCTCTCTTCTAGCTATTTTAAAATATGCAATACATTGTTGTTAGCTATATTCACCTACTCTGCTATTAAACATTAGAATGTATTCCTTCTATTTAACTGTATGTTTGCACCCATTAGCAAACATCTCTTCATCCCACCCTTCTACATTCCCAGCCTCTGAAAACTATCATTCTACTCTCCAACTCAGTGCTATCAACATTTTTAGCTCCCACATATGAGTGAGCATAGGCAATACTTGTCTTTCTTTGCCTAGCTTATTTCACTTGACATAATGACCTCCTGTTTCATCCATGTTGCTGCAAATTACATGATTTCATTTTTGTATGGCCATTGCATATATATATATAATATACATAATATATATAATATATTATACATAAAAATATATAATATATATAAATATAGAATGTATATAATATATAACATATATAATATATATATAATATTTTCTTTATCCATTTGTCTAGTGTTGAACACTTAGGTTGATTCTATATCATTGCTATTGTGAATAGTGCTGCAATAAACATGAGGGTGCAGGGATATTTTGATAGGCTGATTTCTTTTTCACAGGATTAATACCCAGTAGTGAGATTGATGGATATTTTGGTAGTTCTAAGTGTTCAAAAAAAAAATCTCCATACTGTTTTCCATAGTGGCTGTAGTAATTTACCTTCCCACCAATGGTATATAAGAGTTCCCTTTACTTTGCATCCATGCCATTTCCTGTTATTTTTGTCTTTTTAATAATAGTCATTCTAACTGAGATAAAATGATATCTTATTGTGGTTTTTATTTACATTTCTCCGATCATTAGTGATGTGAGCATTTTTCATATACCTGTTGTCCATTTTTATGTCTTCTTTTGAGAATGTCTACTCATGGCCTTTGCCTACTTTTTAATGTGATTATGTGTGTTTTTAGTGTTGAGTTGTTGAGTTCTTTGTCTATTCTGGATATTATTCCCTTATCAAATGAATAATTGGCAAACATTTTCTCCAGCTCAATAGGTTGTCTCTTCACCCTGTTGACTGTTTCCCTTGCTGTGTAGAAGCTTTTTACTTTAATTAGCTCCCATTTGTCTACTTTTGTTTTTGCTGCCTGTGCTTTTGAGGTCTTAGTCATGAATTATTTGCCTAGACTAATGTCCAGAAGAGTTTTCCATATTATTTTTACAGCTTCGGGTCTTCCATTTCAGTCTTGAATCCATCTCATGTTAATTTTTTTATATATGGTGAGAGATAGGGGTCCGATTTCATTCTTCTGCATATGGATATCTAATTTTCCCAGCACTGTTTGTTGAAGATGATGTCCTTTCCTCAGTGTATATCCTTGATGCCTTTGTCAAAATTTTGCTGTAAATACATGAATTCTGTATTCTACTCCATTGGTCATGTGTCCATTTTTACACCAATACCATGCCATTTTAGTTACTATAGGCTTATAATATATTTTGAAGTCAGGTAATGTGATGCTTTCAGCTTTGTTCTTTTTGCTCAACATTGCTTGGCTACTTGGGCTTTTTAATTGTTTTATATAAACTCTGGGATTACTTTTTCTATTACAGTGAAAAATGATATTGGTATTTTGCTACAGATTGCATTAAATCCATAGATTTCCTTGAGTATTGTGATGTTAATACTGATTGTCAACTTGACTGGATTGAAGGATACAAAGTATTGATCCTGGGTGTATCTGTGAGGATGTTGCCAAAGGAGATTAACATTTGAGTCAGTGGGCTGGGAAAGGTAGATCCATCTTTAATCTGGGTATGCACAATCTAATCAGCTGCCAGCACAGCTAGAATATAAGCAGGCAGAAAAATGTGAAGAGAGAGACTGGTCTAGCCTCCCAGCCTACATCTTTCTCCCATGCTGGATGCTTCCTGCCCTCAAACATTGGACTCCAGGTTCTTCAGTTTTGGAACTCAGACTGGCTCTCCTTGCTTTACAGCCTACATACAGCCCATTCTGGGACCTTATGATCACGTAAGTTAATACTTAATAAACTCATATATACATATATACTCATTCATTCCATTGGTTCTGTCCCTCTAGAGAACCCTAATACAGGTACTATCATTTTAAAGATGTTAATTTTTCCAAACCATGAGTATGGAACACAAACTAAAACTAATGAAAGAAGTTAAGGAGGATACAAACAAATGGAATGTATTTGTTTGCATCCTCCTCAACTTCTTTCATTAGTGTTAGTTTTGTTTCCCTTGTAGAGGCCTTCACCTCCTTGTTAAATTTATTCCTACATATTTTAATTTCTGTACCTATATAAATGAAAGTTGCTTCTTGATATATTTCTCAGCTAGTTCATTATTGGTGTATAAAAACACTACTAATTTTTGTATATTGATTTTGTATCCTGCAACTTTACTGAGTGTAATTATCAGATCTAAGGGCCTTCTGGTGGCATCTTTAGGTTTTTCTAAATTTAAGATAACGTCATCTGCAGATGGACAATTTGACTTTCTCTTTTTCCAATCTGAAAGACTTTTATTTCTTTCTCTTGCTTTATTGTTCTGGCTAGCATTTTCAACACTACAGCATGTGCTATGTAGAACAGCTTCTATTCAACATAGGAGTGGTGAAAGTGGGCATACTTGTTGTATTAGTCCATTTTCATACTGCTATGAAGGAATACCTGAGAAAAAGAGGTTTAATGGACTCACTTCCACATGGCTGGGGAGACCTCACAATCATGGTGGAAGGTGAAGGAGGAGCAAAGGCAAGTCTTACATGGTGGCAGGCAAGAGAGGATGTGCAGGGGAACTGCCAGTTCCTTATGGCTGGGGAGGCCTCACAATCATGGCAGAAGGCAAAGGAGATGCAAAGACATATCTTACATTGCAACAGGCAAGAAAAGTGCCAAGCAAAAGGGGGAAGAGCCCCTTATAAAACCATCAGATCTTGTGAGAACTCACTATCATAAGAACAGCATGAGGGTAACTGCCCCTATGATTAAATTACCTCCCACTGGGCCCCTCCCATGACATGTGGGGATTATGGAAACTACAATTCAAGATGAAATTTGGATGTGGACACAGCCAAACCATGTCACTTGTGTCTCATTTTAGTTTTTAGAAGAAAGGTTTTCAGCATTTCCCCCATTCAAAATAATGTTAGCTATGTGTTTGTCATATATGGCCTTTATTAAGTTTTGTGTTTTTTTCTATGTCTAGTTTTTTGAGAGTTTTTATCATAAACGGTGTTGAATTTTATTGAATGCCTTTATTGCATTTACTGAAATGATTATATTGTTTTTGTCTTTTATTCTGTTGATGTGATGTATTATATTTATATATATTTGTATATATTAAACTATCCTTGCATCTTTGGGATAAATCCCACTTGATCATGGTGTATTATCTTTTTGATATGCTGTTAAAATCGGTTTGTTAGTATTTTGTTGAGGATTTTTGCCTCTGTTTATCAGGGGTATTGGCCTGTAGTTTTCTTCTATTACTGCATCCTTGTCTGATTTGGTATCAGGGTAATGATGGTCTCGTAGAAGGAGGTAGGGAGAATTCTGTTCTCTTCAATTTTTTGTAATACTTTAAAGAGAATTGATGTTTACTCTTCATTGTAAGTTCAGTAGAATCCAGCAATGAAGCAATCCAGTCCTGACTTTTCCTTATTGGGAAACATTTTGCTACAGATTCAACCGGTCTGTTCAGGTTTTTTATTTTTTTCTGATTCAATCTTGGTAGGTTATATGTATCCAGGAATTTATCAAGTTCCTCCATGTTTTCCAGTTTTTTAGTGTATAATTTTCATAATAGTCTCTAATGATCTTTTGTATTTCTGTGGTATCAGTTGTAATGTCTCCTTTTTTGCTTCTGATTTTATTTATGTGGGTCTTCTCTCTTTTTTGTGGTTAGTCTAGTGTTTATTAATTTTGTCTTTTTGATAAAAATTTTTTTCAATGGATTATTTGTATTTTTTGCCTCTGCTTTGTTTAGTTCTGCTCTAATTTTTATTATTTCTTTCCTTCTACTAATTTTTGGTTTGATTTGTTCTTGCTTTTCTACTTCATTGAGGCATATCATTGGATAAATTATTTTAAATTTTTCTGCTTTTTTGATGTAGGAGTTTATTGCTATAAGCTTCCCTCTTAGCAGTGCTTTTGCTGTATCCCATAGGTTTTGATATGTTGGTTTTTGTTTTCATTTGTTTCAAGAAATTTTTTGATTGCCTCCTTTATTTCTTGATTGATCCAACTGTCATTCAAGAGCATGTTTTTAAATTTACATGTATTCGTACAGTTTTCAAAGTTTCTCCCGTTATTGATTTCTTGTTTCAATGGGGCTCTGAGAAGGTATTTGATATAATTTCAATTTTTAAAAAAATGGTTGAGGCCTGTTTTGTGTTCTAACACATGGTCTATCCTAGAGAATGTTCCATGTGCTGATGATAATGCATAGTCTGCAGCTGTTGGATGAAATGTTCTATAAAAGTCTATTGGGTTTATTTACTCTAAAGTACAGTTTAAATCTACTTCTTCATTAAATTTCTGTCTAGATTATCATCTAATGCTGAGAGTAGGGTATTGAAGTCCTCAAGTCTTTTTGTATTGGAGTCTATTTCTCTCTCTCTCTCTCTCTTTTTTTCTTTTTTTTTTTTTTTTGAGACCGAGTCTGGCTCTGTCGCCCAGGCTGGAGTGCAGTGGCACATCTCAGCTCACTGCAAGCTCCGCCTCCTGGGTTCACGCCATTCTGCTGCCTCAGCCTCCGGAGAGCTGGGACTACAGGCACCCGCCAGCATGCCCGGATAATTTTTTCTGTTATTTTTTTAGTAGAGACAGGGTTTCACCATGTTAGCCAGGGTGGTCTCGATCTCCTAACCTCGTGATCCTCCCGCCTCGGCCTCCCAAAGTGCTCGGATTACAGGCTTGAGCCAGTGCACCCGGCCTCTCTCTTTAGATATAATAATATTTCCTTTATATATCTGCATGCTCCAGTGCATATATGTTTAGGATATTATATCCTCTTACTAAGTTGATCCCATTATTTTATATAATGATCTTCTTTGTCTCTCTCTACTGTTTTTGACTTAAAGTCTGTCTTATCTGAAATAAGTATATTAATAATATGTTAATAATTATTAATAATAATATAATAATTACTAGTAATAATTACTAATATAATAAATATTATTCTTTCTTGGTTTTGGTTCTTGTTTGTATGAATTTTTTTCCATTCCTTTACTTTCAGTCTATATATGTCTTTAAAGGTGAGATAAAGTGAGATGAGTTTCTTATAGAAAGCATAGAGTATGTTTTCTAACCATTCAGCCAGTCTATACCTTTTTAGTGGAAAGTTTAATTATTTTACATTAAAGGCTATTATTGATATGTGAGAGTTTATTCCTGTCACTTTGTTAATTGATTTCTGGTTGTTTTATTTATCCTCTGTTCTTTTCTTTCTCTCTTATTGTTTATCACTGTGGTTTGGTAGGGTTTTTTTAGTAGTAATATCTGTGTCCTTTCTTTTCTTTATTTCTGTGTTTTCTCTACAAGTGAGTTTTATACTTTCACATGTTTTTATGATGGTAGATATTGTCTTTCTGATTACAGGAGTAGGACTTCCTTAAGCATTTTCTGTAGTACTTGTCTAGTGGTGATAAATTCCCTCAACTTTTGCTTATCTGGGAAACACTTTATTTCTCCTTAATTTATGAAGAATAGCTTTGCTGGGTATAGTATCCTTGTCTGAAATTTTATTCTTTCAGCATTATGAATATATCATCCCATTCTTTTCTGGTCTATAAGGCTTTTGCTGAGAAATCCACTGTTAATCTGATAAGGGTTCCCTTATAAGTAACTAGATACTTCTCTCTTGCCATTTTTGGAATTCTCTCTTGGTCTTTGACTTTAAACAGTTTTACTCTAATGTTCCATGGAAAAGAACTTTTTGCATTTTATCTATTTTGGAATCACTGAGCTTCCTGTATCTGGATGTGTAAATCTCTTGCTAAATGAATGCTAAATTTGTATATATTATTTTGTTAAATATGTCTTCTACCCCCTTCTTTTATTCTTTGTCTTCTGAGACATAGAAAATTAACGTATTTGGTCACTTTATGGTGTCCTGTATGTCATGTTAATTGCTTTATTCATTTTTTAAATTATTTTTTCTTTATGTTTGTCTAAGTTATTTCAAAAGACCTGTCTTCAAGTTCTGAAATTTTTTCTTCTGCTTGAACTAGTCTGTTGTTGAAGCTTTCTGATTTATTTTTTATTTCATTCAATGAATTCAGTTGCAGAATTTCTGTTTGGTTCTTTTTTATGATATCTATCCCTTAGGTAAATTTCTTATCCATATTTTGAATTGTTTTTCTGATTTATTTATACTATTTATCTAATTTCTCTTGTATGTAGCTAAACTTCTTTAATATCAGTATTTTGAATTATTTTTCTGGAAGTTTAGAAATTTCTTTTATGTTGGAATCTGTTTTCAGAGAATTATTTTGTTTCTTTGAAAATGTCATATTTCCTGGCTTTTTCATGTTTCTTGTGTCCTTACATTGATATCTGTACATTTGTTGTAACAGTTACATCTTCCAATTTTTTAAATTTTCTTTCATAGGGGAGGACATTTTTCTGAAGTTGTATTTATGGTGTTGTTTTGGTGGGGCACTTTGGATTTGGTTCTGGTGCATGTGCTAGTACGGTTTCATATGATTTCTTTGGCTGTAAATAGTGTCAGTGGTGTTTGTGATTTTATCAGTGGCTTAGAGTGCATTTGTTAGTGGAGGCTATGATAAAGTTTTGCTGGGGACAGAGACGTAAGGTGGGCCAGTCCTTGAGCCCCTGAGGTGACAGTGGCTGGCTGAGTGTGCCTGTCCTTTTGCCCCAGGGCAGCATACACCAGCACCAATTTTAGTGGCTACAGGTGGACAGGTTATTGAGTCACTAAGCAGCTTGCTTGAGTGGCAACAGTGGCAGCAGTGGGCTGGCTGGGTGGCTAGGTCCTTGGTCCCCTTGGTTGCAGGTGTGGCATGGGCAATGGCAGTAACAGTAGTTGCATAACCCTCTGGCTTTCATGCTGTCCACACCGATATTGGTAGTTGCTGTGATAAACTGGATGGGCCAGTCCCGAGGCCCATGGTTGGTGCGTGTGAGTGGGTGCCAGCTGTGGTGGGAGCAGCAGGCTAGGTGGGCCTATCCTTAGGCCCTGGGAGGAGTGCTCAGGTGCCAATGGTGGCAGATGGGGCACTGCAATAACCAGGAACCTGGATAGTGTGCTTGGGCACTGGAAACAGAGGAATTAAGCTGGCAAGCCTTTCCTCAAGTCCCACAATGGTGCATATGGGCACTGACTGTCATAAGCAGTGGTGGAGTGATGCCCAGTCCCCTGGCAGACTGCTTGGGCAGGGGCAGCAGTGGCTGTTCTGTGGACCTGCTTCTGGGGACATTTTGAATTATTAGTCAAGTGATTCATATAAGGCAGGGTTGCTTTTAGTGGTAAACATGTAGCTGGGGAGTGCACACTTTGGCCCCAAGTAGCAGCTGCAAGTGGGGTAGCCTATCTTCAGAGCACTTGTAAATGCACAGCAGCCCCACTACAGGGGGTGAAGGGGTCACTGCCAATGACTCACACTTCAGCTCTGATGGCAATAGCCTGTGGCAGCACCCAGCTATGAACAAGGGATATCCATGGGGCTCCAAGGGCGTGGAGATGCAGGATCTGTTGGGCCCTGGAGCAGGGTGTGGTCTAGTGGGGGTTGGGCTCTCAAAATAGCACCATGCTGCAGCTGCTTAGCACTTGGGGGTTGGCGGGGGGAATCCAGGGTGAGCTCTGACTCCAGAGCAATGCTGTCATGTGGTCTCTAGGCAGCTTCCTATGTTAGTCTCAGGGCCTGTGTGGGTTGAGGGGCTTTCTGCTGCCTAGGAGTGCAGGAGTCCAAAGTGGGAATGTGGATTACTGGGGGCTGCTCACCCTTTCCCCATACTGGGGAGCCTATCCAAGCACCCAGCAGATCTCATCCAAACAGATTACCTGGCTTCCATCTCCTTCCTTGCCTTAGGTATTTCTTGTCCCTTCTCTTTTAAATTCCAGCACTCTCTTCGGTGATGGATTCAAAGTGTGATGATCTACTTGCTAGTTTGATTCTTCAAGGAGAAGGCAAGTACCAAATGCCCCTACTCAACCATCTTGAAGCCCATATACCTTAATAACTTTTATATATTTCTAGTATATTGATACTTTTATCACTGACCCTCTTTGACATTAGCAATATTTTTAGTCTTTGAGTCTATTTTCTCTGATATTAATGTAGTCACTCCAGCTCTTTCACAATTATTATTTGCATGAAAAAAATTACTTTTTCTCTCTTATGCTCAGCCTATTTGTTTCCATGAATCTAAAGTGCTTCTCTTGTTGCCAGCACAGAGTTGGATTTTGTTTTTTATTTGTGTCTTTTATTAGAGCATATAGAACATTTACATTTAATGTAATTATTGATGGGGTTGGGTTTAAGTTTCATTTTGCTATTTCTTTTCCATGTGCCTCATGCATTTTTGTTCCTCTGCTCTTTTTTTATTGCCTTTTATAAGTTAAATATTTTTGGTGTCCAATTCTTTCTTTCTCTGTTGATGTTTAGATATAATTTAAATAGCTTTATTGAGCAAAAATTGACATAGAATAAGCTAAAAATATTTAAAGTTCATAACTTGATAAGTTTTGACATGTACACATTCTTGAAAATATCATTGTGCCCCTCTGTCCCTCCTGGCCATCCCTGCCCTGTCCCATCAACAAGATGGTCAACAGGCATTAGTTTGAAAGATGTAGAATTTTATATTAATGAGAATATGAAGATTGCTTTTACTGAGCATGTTTTTCACTCAATGTAATTACTTTAAGATCCATACAGGGGTTGCAATTTGTACCAACACTTTCCTCTTTTAGATGGCTGAGTGCTACTCCATGACATATACACATAGATACTGATATTGATGTAGATTTATACACTTTGTTTATCTAGTCACCTGTTAATGAACATTTAGATTATTTCTAGTTTTAGGCTAATATGAATAACACTACAATGAGAATTAATGTTCAAAGTTTCATGTAGACATATATTTTCATTTCTCTTAAGTATATAATTAGGAAAACTTCTGGATGGTATAGTAAATATATGCTATAAGATACATAATTTTGCAAACATTTTCTTTCAGTCTGAAGCTTGTCTTTTTATTTTCTTAATGGTACTCTTTTAAGAACAGAAATTTTGAACTTTTGTAGAGTTCGTTTAATTTTTTCTCTTTGATTTATTCATTCAGTCTTTAGTGACTGAGTGCTATATATTTAAACCGTTCTTTCTTTTCCATTCTGCTGTTATCATTCATTTTCCATTCTGCTATTATCTTAATATATCTTTTTTGTTTTGTTTTGTTTTTGAGATAGAGTCTCGCTCTGTCACACAGGCTGGAGTGCAGTGGCATGATCTTGGCTCACAGCAACCTCTGCCTTCCAGATTCAAGTGATTCTCCTGCCTCAGCCTCCCGAGTAGCTGGGATTACAGGTGCCCACCACCATGCCCTGCTAATTTTTTTGTATTTGTAGTAGAGATGAGGTTTGACCATGTTGGCCAGTCTGGTTCTGAACTCCTGACCTCAGGTGATCTGCCCACCTCAGCCTGCCAAAGTGCTAGGATTACAGGCATGAGCCACTGCTTCCAGCCTTAATATATCTTAAATATCTTATATAATTCCCTGTGTTTTCACAGAATCTTTTAATGGTAGCACATTTTTAGTGACAATATTTGCCTCCTGCCTTTTCCCATCTTTCCAGATGACAGTAATGTGAGTTCCCTAAAGTAAAGCTTGCAGGAGCATGGCTGGAGCTTCCAGGCAGGCCAGGTGTCCAAGCTGGCAAGAGGAGGATTACAAGTCCATGGCTCATGTGGATGTGCACAGACATGACTGCATAGACAAAAATGTCAAGCAGGAAGCAGATGGGGCTGGAGGAGCCAGGAACAGGGCCGAGAAGCCAGGCCATGGAGAAGACAGAGAAAAGCACTTTGAATTACAATTTCACAAACCAAGTTGTATATATGACTTCACACTGACAGTGCTCACAAAGGAGATGAGACGAGAATTATCATCCCCATGCCACAGATGAGAAAACAGGTGCTCAGGGGTGAAGTACATTTCCCAGGAGCTAGCTTCTGACAGAACCCAAGCTAGAGTTCAGCTCTCCAGGCTCCTAAGCTGGTGCCTTCCCCACTAGACCACTCTACGTTCTGCATGACCAGAGTCTCCTAACCATTTCTCTCTTGGGGTAATTCCAAGTCCAAACTGTCTCTAGAGCCAGTTTTGTGTCCAGTCTGAGATACAGGACAACCCCCTCTGCTACTTTGTGTCTCAGAGTCGAGTTTGCTCTCTCTGCCTGTCCACAACCCCCTTAGAGGCAAGGCCCACTTCACAGAATCTAGTGAGGAAATGGTCTTTTGGACGTGAAGAACAGGTGGTATTTGAAAGACAAAGAGGTTTTTCCTCTCTCTTCATTAATTTGGGGGTAACCAAGTCTAAATGATGTACGCTACAAGAATTAGTTATGAGTAATGTCTCTGCCTCTGACCTCAGGCTGTGTGTGAGACGCAAAAGAAACAAGAGTGGTCAACAGAGAGCTCCAGGTACCCAGACACTGTCGGGAGAGACAGCCCCCTCCCCTTTGCCAGTGGATGCCCTTGACCTCATTAAAAATAAGAAGAGGCAGAAATCAGACCAGTGGTAGCCTCAGCCCTACAGTCTGCTAACATTAGCAGGAGCTCCAAAAGCCTCCCCACCGCTCAGTTTCTTGGCCATAAACTTCTAGGGAGGGGCCTGAGACAGCACGCTACATTAAAAATCCATCAGCCACAGAAATTATTTTTAGCAAATTGATAACTTCATGGAGAGTTGGGAATACTACACAGAGGGCTGCAAAGGTGACAGGCACAACCAGGTCAAATGGATGTCAGTAATTTTACATGGCAAGCTGAGAAGTGCACTCAAGAGAGATTGCATTCACATCCCAGCTGTGCAAAATTTAGGCAAGCTATTTAACTTTTCCATGCTTTAAGTCCCACATCCGCACAGCTACATTGCAAAGGTCTGAAGAATATGAATAAAATATATAAAATGCTTAGGATAGTATCCAGCTCTTCAAGGGCACCCAATACATGGTAGCCAATAATCGTAAACGGTAAATCAATGTACATATTCTCTGTGCTTTCTTATTGGTCTACATAAAATTTCTGACCTAGAGGTGGAATGTTGTTAACCCTATATTAGGACTCTGTTTATAGGATTTTCTCAGCTCCTGTACTTAGCACACATGGTCTGACTTTCATAGCACGGTGGGGAAAAGCACACAGCCCAAGCTTCTCTCGTAGGAGTATGCATGTGTGGGCACTCTGAAACATTTAGTGGAAATATGGGCAAGAAATGGAAGACTGTGGGGGAGAGGAGGAGACTAATTTCTTTTATTCCTAGGCATCCCTGGTCATGGAGTCAGAACAAGGTTCCAGTTGAAGACAGTGTCTCCACCCTCTCAGTATCTCAGTTTATTAACCATGATTGATTTGGCTGTAAAAGTAGCCAACAGAGTAGCTGGGGACCCCTTATACAAAGCTACTACTTTGATTTTCCAATTGGTTTTAAATCCCAAATGTAGAGAAACCTTGGCTGGGCAGGGCCCAGGAGCAAGGTGAAATTGCTACAGTCATTTGGAAAGTTAAGAGGGTTTAGTGCTCTCTGGTTGAGCTGTAAAGCCCTCCCCCTGTGAGTGCTGACTGAGGTAAGAGAGTGGGAGAGATGTAAATAATTTGTGGCCAGAGAGTGGAAAATGGTGCTTTGAAAACATGTCTGCAATGTGCACAGAGCACAAGTGTTTGCTCACTCTCTGAGGTCCTGCAGTGTCCACTGTTGCAACCTCTGACCTTCAAAGGCAAGGAATTCTATTACAGTACTTACCTCTTATCCAAATGGGAGATGTTCCTAGACCCCCAGTGGTTGCCTCAAACTGCAGACAGTACCAAACTCTCTATATGCTGTTTTTCTTATACATACCTATAATAAAGTTTAATTTACAAGTTAGGCACAGTTAAGAGATTCAAAATAATAAATAATAATAAAACAAATATAACAACCTACTTTGATAAAAGTTATGTGAATATAGCTGCTTTATCTCTGAAAATATTTTAACATTTTCAGATCATGGTGAACTGCAGGTAACAGAAACTGAGGAAAGTGAAACAATGGATTGGAGGGGGCGACTTCTGTACTTGGGAACAGAAAGGAGGGATGTAGATGTTTTATTTATTTATGTTTATTGCTTTAGAAAAAATGCAAGATGATGTCTTAACAACCTTCACTATTTTTTGTGCTAAGCACCATGGGGGCTAAAAAGAGATACAGTTCCTTCCCTCAGTGCTCTTAGGATTTCTAGAGTGGGAGAACTGGGTGATTTGTTTCTTTTGTTCACATCTTCAGCAGTTCACTCACCTGACCTGCACTTGGACCTACTCAGTTGACAAGATTGTGAGTCTGATCCCACAACAGATAAGACGTGGGATCTTGAGGGGAGGTAAGAGAGTGGGAGAAATGTAAATAAATTATGGCCAGAGAGTGGAAAATGGTGCTTTGAAAACATGTCTGCAAATTTTTTATATTTCTTCCATTAACAAGGCGCTCTAATTTCCCTTTCTTTGAATACAGGTCATCTTAGTGACTCACTTCTAATGAGAGAAGCTGGTAGAAGGAACCCTGAATGACTTCCAAGGTCAGGTCTTAAAATGATACAGCTTCTGGCTGGTTCCCTCTCCCTTTTTGGACGCTTGACCTTGGAACCTGGCAGCTGTTGAGCAGACTTCACCAGGCAAAATTGTTGGGAGTTCTGACTAATCCTATAATAAGATGTGTTAGTCAGGGCTCTCCAGGGGAACAGAAAGCAACAGGAGAGATAGGTAGGTAGGTAGGTAGGTAGACAGACACACAGACAGACACACAGGCAGAAACATAGAGAGATGATAGATAGAGGCTGGCAAGTTCACAATCTGCAGAGTCAATGATCCAGTCTGAGTCTGAAGAGCAGCAGCTGCTGTAGAAAAAGGAAGAGCTGATGCCCCAGTTTGAAGGCCACCAGGCAGGGAGAATTCTCTTTTACTAGGGGAAGGGTCAACCTTTTGTTCTGTTCAGGCAACTGATTGAATGAAGTCCTTCCACATTAAGGAAGACAACCTGCTTTACTCAGTCTGCTTGTCCAAATGTTAATCTCTCCCAAAAACACCCTCAAAGCACACCCACAAGAATGACCAAATGTCTGGGGACTGTGGCCCCACCAAGTTGAAACAAATAGTTAACCGCCACCCAAGATGTATCAGGTTACTCTGCTGACCACAGGATCCAAAAAGACTCAAGAAAAATCCAGCTGTCTTAGATGCCTGTACCAAGCAAGACACTTTTTCTCCTGGATCTTTTCTCTGGTCACATTTTCCATGTGGTCTCCCTACCATGACTTTGTTGTCAGTGCTTAACCCTGCCTGATCCACACCACTGAGCTTCGTCTATGTATCTTCCAGCTGGCACCGCTGACTGGCCAACGCAAAGGCAACACGAACGGAACTGAGTTTTCCAGGACAGTGATTCCTAAATGGACAGGAAAGTCCTATCCTTATAAGTGATATTCTTTATGGTGGTGCTTTGTTTCTGGCTGATTCCCAGCGGTATCACTCACTCACTGTGAACCTTCGCTGTGGCTGTTCTTGGCTCAATACCCCAGCAACCATTCGCTCTTTGCCGGTGGAAGCACTTAACCTTCAGCCTCAGACCGAGGGTCTAATCCTGTCCTTGGAGAGTGAAATCTCAGAGTCCTGGACCATAGTATCAGGGACTCAGTTCAACTGTGGTGCTTCCTCCCTTTTGATACTATACCCCTTAATCTGCCTTTCTGCCATATCCTTAGAGAGCAGGCCACACGAAACACCAGTTTCTGTAGGTCCTTAACTCGCCTTCTGGGCACTGAGGCTCTCTCTTTCCTTTAAGCACTGGCCATCACCCTTTCCTTAAGGCCTGAGGTCTTACATGGCTGTTTTTTCCCCAATACATTTTTTTTTTTTTTTTTTTTTTTTTGGAGACAGAGTCTTGCACTATCTCTCAGGCTGGAGTGCAGTGGCACGATCTCAGCTCACTGCAACCTCTGCCTCCTGGGTTCAAGCGATTCTCATGCCTCAGCCTCCCAAGTAGCTGGGATTACAGGTGCACGCCACCATGCCCTACTAATTTTTGTATTTTTAGGAGAGATGGGGTTTTGCCATGTTGGCCAGGTTGGTCTCAAACTCCTGACCTCAGGTGATCCGCCCACCTTAGCCTCCCAAAGTGCTGGGATTACAGGCATACCCAATACATTTTTAATGCTTGGAATTCTATTTGGGAAATGTATTCTTTGTGAATTGGTCCATACTCTCTTCCTGATGCCAATGACCCCTTTGAAGGAATTTCTCTTTTCTCCTAACATTGAGACATGTTGCTCCTCTCCGCACTGCCCTCATGCCTCGCTGCCGTGCACACCATGGAATCCGCTCATCTGACCTTGCACCTCGGGCTGAACCCTTCTGCTGGGAGCAGCGAGAGCACCCAGAGCACGTCCCGGCTCACAGTGCTCACTCTAAATGCTGCCGAGAGAACCAGTCAGAGGATAGTGTGAAAAGCTTTTCCTACATTAGTAAAGGCCAGGTGGCTCCACCCTATCGACAGACCCTTCCTGACCTTGGTTTAAGGTCAGCATTGCCCTTCTCTCTGCCAACTGCCCATACGAGCAGATGCAGGAGAGCTGGCCTCTCTCTGAGCTGAACACCCCCTTCCCCCGAATCAATGCCTGCCAGAGCTGATGAGCATGAGCGCCTCTGAATCCTTCATGAAGGTAGTTAGGCGCAAACGGCATTTATTTCCCCGGTTACAACCTTGGAGAGGTGGTCATTTTAAGGTTCAGCCTGCTTCAGTTACCTGACAGAACCCAGATGCTATGAACAGGGAAATCATGAGATGCTAGGTCCACTTGGAAATGAGAAAATGACACCCTTATCTATCAGTTATGCAGACCAGAAACATAGGCATCAGGCATCATCTTTAAATCTCTTTTTCCCTCACTCCCACATTCAACACAGAGGAAAGTTCTGCTGGCCTCATCCTCACACTAGATCCCAAATCTAACCTCTCTCACCCCCTCCACTGTTCCCACTGAGCCTCGGCCACATGTGTACATGTGTCCTGCCCGGACACCAGCAGCCTCCTGCCACTCTTGCTGCATCCGCACTTGCGGCTGATGTTCCATTTTCCACATATACCATGGCACACAGGCCACGTTTCTGCTCCCTTCCCTTCATGTACATCTGTGGTCAATGGGGCCACGAGGCATAAAGCCCCTGCCTCTCTCTCTGACTTCAGCTCCTCCAGCCCTTCCCTTAGTTTATTCCCTCCACACGCAAGCATTTTGCTGTTACTCAAACTCTAAGATCATTCCCTCCCGGCAAAGCATCCTCACCTCTGTACCTTCTACCTGGCATGCACCTTCTCCATGTCTTCACCGGGGTCCTCCCTCCACTTCACTCAAGTCACTCACTTTACTGAGCATAGCCCTGATCCTACTTCCCTGCTCTTCTTTCTAAAGTCCATGCCACCTGCCATGCCATGAGCTTGCATCTCTGCTTTTTTATTTATTGCTGGTGTCCACAACCACACTCTGTGCTCCAGGGGACTTTGTTTTTGCTGTGCCCGTGCTTATCACACTATGCCTGTCACACAGTGCCTGTCATGTAGCAGCCACTCAAGGAGACATGACTGGAGGAATCGTGTGTGTTTTAGGGAGATAGCATGTCTTGTTCACATCTCAAAATATCGTAAGTCCAGAAGCACTTGTGGATGTTCACTGTGTTCTCATGTCTGAGTTTGGTGCTGTAGGGTCACCCAAGATAGAAGAGCATAGCTGCTGCCTTCAAGGACTTTGCCATTTACGAGAGGCAATAGCACTAACGTGAGAGAAGCAATTCACGTGGCGCCTGAGGATCTTCTGGATTGCTTTGTCCTCTGTGGCAAAGAACACTAGTGCTCGGGAGTGCAGACCATGGATCAGGCTGAGGTCTGCAGTACAGTGAAGAGGTGGAGCCCAGCCAGGCCTGAGAGCACCTGAGGAGTTTAGATTTAGGCAGCAGGGCGGTGGCCAATGTTTTGAAACAAAGCAGTAATTTTTGTTTCAAAACAAAAATTTTGCCCCCCACCAAAGTTATCCAAGGCCTAAGAGGAGCTTTGACAACTGGAGAGCAATTCTGAAAAAGGTAAAATTAAATCCGTTTCTGATACCACACACACAAAATAAACCCCAGAGATGTCAGAGATCCGAAAGTAAAAAAAAATAAAAATATACACACACTAGAAGAAAACATGATGGAATCCCTCTGCACCTTGAGTATGGAGGAAGGCTTTCTAATTGTTAAAAATCCCCATACAGAAAACCAAAAGATAAATGTGACCACATAAAAATAAAACTTTTGCATGTCAAAAGCAAAAAACTAAAAACAAACAAATACACAAACTACTCAAAATGGTAAACACCGTAAGCAAAGAAGTTAAAAGACGAATGAGTACTGGGAGAAAAGATTTTCAGTATTCATCACCCATAAAAGGTTAATACTCCTAACTTGAAACATCTTTTAAAAATTAAGAGGAAAAAAAGGAAAAAAATTTTAGAGGCAAATTAGCAAAGACATGAAGCAACAATGCACAAAAGATAACATATGAAAAGATGTTCAGATCCTCTCACTATAAGAGAAATGCAAGTTAAAACACCAATCCTAGTTCACATCCATTAGACTGGCAAACTTGGAAATTCGACAATGCCTTCTGTTTGCGAGGCTGTAGGGAAACGCACTCTCCTACACTGCTGGTGGAAACAGCAAAGGCACCATCTCTCTGAAGGAGGATTTGGCAATATGCAACAAAATTACATATGCATTTGGTTTTTATCCTAGCAATCTCACTTCTAAGAATTTACTCTGGGGCCGGGTGCGGTGGCTCACGCCTGTAATCCCAGCACTTTGAGGGGCCGAGGCAGGTGGATCACGAGGTCAGGAGATCGAGACCATCCTGGCTAACACAGTGAAACCCTGTCTCTACTAAAAATACAAAAAAAAAAAAAACAGCCAGGCATGGTGGCGGGCAACTATAGTCCGAGCTACTCGGGAGGCTGAGGCAGGAGAATGGTGTGAACCCAGGAGGCAGAGTTTGCAGTGAGCCGAGATTGCACCACTGCACTCCAGCCTAGGCAACAGAGCAAGACTCCATCAAAAATATATATATATATACTCTTAAGACAAACCTTCCCACTACACAGTTATTAAAGGCTTAAGAAGGACATTATTTTCCTCATGATGTCTGAGGAAAGCCAAATTCAGTTGGCTCATCTAAGACTCAAAGATAAGAGTATAACAGAATTTCAGAGAGGAAAGCAAAGCACATCAGGTATTCCCATGCTGTGTCTGATGCAGGAACTTTCTCTAATATGACCTCAGCAAGATCTACCAGCTTCTGCCCATGTATGGACAATAACTCACAGCTCCACTTTGCTTTCAGAAACTTCCTGTTATTAATAACATTTTTCTGAACACGAAATTCAAACCTATCTGTCTCTAAATTATACTTTGCTCCTTGGGGTCAAACAAATTAACTTTTATCAACTTAGCAGCCTATAATATAGACCTACAAATATTTGAATGTAAGTCATGCTTTTTATGATTCTCCAGGCTTCAGTTCTTTCACCTCCTCATTTGTTCAAATCTCTACTTTCAGGGTTTCCAGAAATGAACACAATACTCCAGGATATGGTAGAATGGTCACCTTCTATAGTCTAGAATCACAAGGCAGTTAGGGACTAGATTCACTTGTATAATTAGCACAACATGTTGACCACAAAGTGATGCACTTATGGTGAATAACAACCCCATGATTTTCTCAGGTATGTAGCGGGTAAGCCATGACTCCCTTTTCTGCTCAAATGGATAATCAAAGTAACCTTTATCCCTCTGCCATCAATGAAGCCTAACACCCAACTTCCAGCCCATGTTGATCACCTATGTTGGGCAAAGCATCACACTTAGCATCGTGAATGAGAAAAATGAGGAGGAGTGGAAGGAAAGGTTGAGGGGATGGAGAAAAGGTGGTAGCATCATATAAGAGACATTTACAAGCTCTCTTCCCTAAAAGATCTTATTGCTCTGTCATTGACCTGAGACTGTCAGTAAACAATTCAAACCCATCTTGCTGAAGGAAAGCTCAAAATAGAGTTCTTATGGAAGGCTTCTCGAAGGATAATAGGGGCAGGGAGACAGCATCCAGATATGACATGGCAGAGACCATTCCTACTCACCAAGTACCCATATGATCCTCCTAACTTCCAGACCAGGATACCTGGATGAGGTCATTTAACTAATTCTTGGGACATGAGCAGGAATGGTGTCTCTCTTGCTAGCTGAGGTCTGAGGCAAATACCAGCGTATGTGTCTTTTCTAGGCATCTGCACTTTCATCTTACTTCTCCTTTCTCTCCTCTCTCTCTGTCTCTCACTGCCTCTCACCATGTGGCTAGAAGGAAAGGACTCTAACATGGAGGCACTGCAATATGGAAGTAGTTTAGATCTCTGCCAATAAGAGAGCCTGTGTCAACAGGAAAGCCACAAAGCAGAGTCATGCAGGACAGTATTGCAAGAGACCCATGCAAAAGACCCCTGCAGGGGAGCACTGCAGGAGACCCATGCAAAATAGTCAGCAGGGGAGCACTACAGGAAATGGATGCAGAAGACCCATGCAGGGGAGCATTACAGAAGATCCATGCAGAAGAGCTTGCAGGATACTCATGCAGAAGACTCATGCAGGGGAGCTCTACAGAAGTTGGATGCAGAAGACCCACGTAGGAGAGCACTGCAGGAGACCCATGTAGGAGTGCTTGCAGGAGACTCATGCAGAAGACCCATGCAGGGAATCACTGCAAAAGATGCATGCAGAAGACCCATGCAGGAGAGCACTGTAGGAGACCCAGCAGAAGAACTTTCAGGAGACTCAGACAGGAGAGCTGATAGGAGACCATGCAAAGGACCCATGCAGGAGAACACTGCAGGAGACCCAGCAGGAGAACCTTCAGGAGACCCATGTAGGAGAGCTTACAGGAGACCCATGCAGAAGACCTATGCAAGGGAGCACTGCAGGGGAGCCTATGCAGAGAAGCCACTCAACCCATAGCTGACAGTGTTGTGAGAAATACAGTCTTTCCAGGGCTTTTCTTTTGCCACCACAGCATATCTGTTCTATTCCAATGAATACAGTGGATATCACAGAATGTGGGCTGCATTAGTTCGTTTTCATGCTGCTGATAAAGACATACCCAAAAGTGGGAAGAAAAAGAGGTTTAATTGGACTTACAGTTCCACATGGCTGGGGAGGCCTCAGAATCATGGCAGGAGGCAAAAGGCACTTCTTACATGGCTGTGGCAAAAGAAAATGAAGAAGAAGCAAAAGTGCAAACCGCTGATAAAACCTTCAGAACTCGTGAGACTTATTCAGTATCAAGAGAACAATATGGGGGAAACCACCCCCATGATTCAATTATCTCCCACCAGGTCCCCCCACAATACATGGGAATTCTGAGAGTACAATTCAAGATGAGATTTGGGTGGGGACACAGAGCCAAACCATATCATTCCACTCCTGGCCCCTCCAAATCTCTTGTCCTCATATTTCAAAACCAATCATGCCTTCCCAATAGTCCCCCAAAGTCTTAACTCATTTCAGCATTAACCCAGAAGTCCACAGTCCAAAGTCTCATCTGAGACAAGGCAAGTCCCTTTCACCTACGAGACTGTAAAATCAAAAGCAAGCTAGTTACTTCCTAGATACAGTGGGGGATCAGGTATTGGGTAAATACAGCCATTCCAAATGGAGAAACTGGCCAAAACGGGGGGTTACAGGGCCCACACAAGTCTGAAATCCAGCGGGGCAGTCAAATTTTAAAGTTCCAAGATCATCTCCTTTTACTTCAGGTCTCAAATCCAGGTCACACTGATGCAAGAGGTGGGTTCCCATGGTCTTGGGCAGCTCTGCCTTTGTAGCTTTGCAGGGTACAGCCTCCCTCCCAGCTGCTTTCATGAGCTGGTGTTGAGTATCTGTGACTTTTCCAGGTACACAGTGCAAGCTGTAGGTGGATCTACCATTCTGGGGTCTGAAGGATGAAGGCCCTCTTTTTTTACAGCTCCACTAGGCAGTGTACCAGTAGGAACTCTGTGTGGGGGCTCCAATCCCACATTTCTCTTCTGCACTGCCCTAGCAGAGGTTCTCCATGAGAGCCCCATCCCTGCAGCAAACTTCTGCCTGGGCATCCAGGCATTTCCATACATCTTCTGAAATCTAGGAAGAGGTTTCCAAACCCCAGTTCTTGACTTATGTGCACCTACAGGCTCAACACCACTTGGAAGCTGCCAAGGCTTGGGGCTTATACCCTTTGAAGCCATCACTCAAGCTCTATGTTGGCCCTTTCATCCACAGCTGGAGCAGCTGGGATGCAGGGCACAAAGTCCCTAGGCTGCACACAGCATAGGGACCCTGGGCCCATCCACACAAAACCACCTTCTCCTCCTAGGCCTCCAGGCCTGTGATGGAAGAGGCTGCCATGGAGACCTCTGACATGCCCTGGAGACATTTTCCTCATTGTCTTGGGTATTAACATTTGGCTCCTCGTTACTTATACAAATTTCTGCAGCCAGCTTGGATTTCTTCTCAGAAAATTGGATTTTCTTTTCTATTTCATTGTCAAGCTGCAAATTTTGCAAATTTTATGTTCTGTTTCCCTTTTAAAACTGAATGCCTTTGACAGCACCCAAGCTACCTCTTGAATGCTTTGCTGCTTAGAAATTTCTTCTGCCAGATACCCTAAATCATCTCTCTCAAGTTCAAAGTTCCACAGATCTCTAGGGCAGGGGCAAAATGCCACCAGTCTCCTTGCTAAAACATAAAAAGAGTCACCTTTGCTCCAGTTCCCAACAGGTTCCTCGTCTCCATCTGAAACCACCTCAGCCTGAATTTCATCATCCATATCACTATCAGCATTTTGTTCAAAACCATTCAACAAGTCTCTAGGGAGTTCCAGACTTTCCCACATTTTCTGGTCTTCTTCTGAGCACTCCAAACTGTTCCAGCCTCTGCCTGCTACCCAGTTCCAAAGTCACTTCCACATTTTCGGGTATCTTTTCAGCAGCACCCCACTCTACTAGTACCAACTTACTGTATTAGTCCATTTTCATGCTGCTGATAAAGACACACTCAAGACTGGGGAGAAAAAAAGGTTTAATTGGACTTACAGTTCCATATGGCTGGGGAGACCTCAGAATCATGGCAGGAGGGGAAAGGCACTTCTTACATGGCAGCAGCAAGAGAAAATGAGGAAGATGCAAAAGTGGAAGCCCCTGATAAAACCATTAGATCTCTTGAGACTTATTCACCACCACGAGAACAGAGTGGGGGAAACTGCCCCTGTGATTCAAATTATCTCCCATTGGGTCCCTCCTACAACACATGGGAATTCTAGGATTACAATTCAAGATGAGATTTGGGTGGGAACACAGAGCCAAACAATATCATGGACCAAATAGAGAAAGATGAGTGAGGAAGATATTCCAGATGGAGAAAATAACATGTGCAAAGAACTCAAAAGTAGAACATAACAAAAAGAAAGGGGAGAAATGTAAGCCTCTCCTCTGAAGTCACCCAGAATAATTTTCTTCAACATTTAATCTTCAATTACAAGCTGTAAATAATTTTTGCATATTATTAGTCCTGATGTTTTTCAGTTCAATGTGACATATTTCAGGTACCCCAATCAAATATCAAGAAATAAAATGTCAAATGCTGACTTACTTTGCATACTAGATACCAATGAAAGGTCATTGTCTGCAAAACCTACTAACTTGAAAAGGGCTTTGGACTGGGACCCAGGCTACTGATTCTAATTCCAGCTCTGGTCTAAGGTCACTAATACGTATCAGTTGAGTCATTAATGTGAACAATCAAGTTGGAAAAGATCAACTTAATGGTTTCCTCTAGTTTTGATAGTGTGTGCTTTTATGATTCTAACAAAGTTTAGTATTTCCTAAAGGTTGTCACACTGTATTGTCTCATGAAAGATTAACAAACCAAACTGATTGAGCACATCTGCAACTGCTCTGTGATAGTAATACAAAGGCTCCCAGAAGCACTGGCAGGGCATTTCCAAAAACCTACACATGACATGGGTACTGGGAGTGCTGGCTTTGTACCATGGAGTTCTGGCAGAAGCACTCAATTCAGTCTTGGTGACAGATCTTCTGAGAAAAGGAAGTTTCCAGTGTACTCATAAGAATATCCTGGGCCAGCTTCATAGAGATCCGTCCCCACATCCTGCCTTTTGTATAGAGCACTAAATGTAGTTACAATGAACTTGTCCCACTATAGTAACTGATATGGTCTGAATGTCTCCTCCAAAACTCATGCTGGAAACTGAATTCCCATTGTAATGGCATTGGAAGGTCAGGCATTTGAGAGGTGATTGGATTGTGAGGGTAGCACTGTCATGAATGGATTATTGCTATTGTGGTATCACGGGGGTTTGGCCCTATTTTTTCCTCTGTCTCATGTACTCCCTTCTGCCTGTCATCCTTCTACCATGGAAGAACACTTGCCAGTGGCTGAAACCAATCTCTTGGACTTCCCAGCCTCCAGACTGTGTGCCAAATAAACTTTTATGTATAAATTACCTAGTCTGTGGTATTCTGTAACAGCAATGAAAAACAAACTAAGAAAGTAACCATTTTAGAGTAGTCTACCCTTATCCCTGGAGTATATGTTCCAAGACCCCCAGTGAATGCCTGAAGTACCAAACCCAACACATACTATTTTTCTCCCATACATACATACTATATTAGTCTGTTCTTATGCTGCTAATGAAGACATACCATTGACACATGAGGATTATTACAATTCAAGGTAAGATTTAGGTGAGGACACAGCCAAACCGCATCATTCCACCCCAGCCCCTCCCAAATCTCAGGTACTCACATTTCAAAACCAATCATGCCTTCCCAACAGTTCTCCAAAGACTTAACTTATTTCAGCATTAACTCAAAAGTCCATAGTCCAAAGTCTTTTCTGAGGCAAGGCAATTCCCTTCCACCTATGAGCCTGTAAAATTGAAACCAAGTTAATTACTTGCTAGATACAGTGGGGATACAGGCATTGAATACACCCATTCCAAATAGGAGAAAGTGGCCAAAACAAAGGGGATACAGGCCCTATGCAAGTCCAAAACCCAACAGGGTCATCATTAAACCTTTAAGTTCCAAAATGATCTCCTTTGACTCCATGTCTCAAGCCCGGGTCATGCTGATGCAAGAAGTGGGCTCCCCTGGCATTGGGCAGCCCCACTCCTGTGGATTTGCAGGGACAGCCCCCTTCCAGCTGCTTTTGCCAGCTGGTGTTGAGTATCTGTGGATACATACAGGTCCAGGCATACAGTGCAAGCTGTTGGGTCTGGAGGACAATGGTCCTTTTCCCACAGCTCTACTAGGTACTACCCCAGTGGGGACTCTGTGTGGGAGCTCCAACCCCACATTTCCCTTCTGCACTGCCCTAGCAGAGGTTCTCCATGAGGGCCCCACCCCTGCAGCAAACTTCTGCCTGGACATCCAGGCACTTCGATACATTCTCTGAAAACTAGGCAGAGGTTCCCAAACTTCAACTATTGACTTCTATGCACCCGCAGGCTCAACAGCTGTTGGAAGTTGCCAAGACTTGAGGCTTGTACCCTCTGAAGCCACAGCCTGAGCTGCACCTTGGCCCCTGTTAGCCATGGTGGGAGCAGTTGAGACACAGGGCACCAAGTCTCTAGGTTGCACACAGCAGGTGGGCCTTGGGCCCAGCCCACAAAACCGTATTTTCCTCCTAGGCCTCTGGGCCTGGGATGGGAGGGGCTGCTGCAAATGTCTCTGACATGCCCTGGAGACAATTTCCCCACTGTCTTGGTGATTAACATTTGGCTCTTCATTACTTATGCAAATTTCTGCAGCTGGCTTGAATTTCTTCCCAGAAAATGGGTTTTTCTTTTCTACTGTACTGTCACGTTGCAAATTTTTCAAACTTTCATGCTCTGCTTCTTCTTGAACACTTTGCCACTTAGAAATTTTTTTCCACCAGATACCCTAAATCATCTCTCTCAAGTTCAAAGTTCCACAGATCTCTAGGGCAGGGGCAAAATGCCACCAGTCTGTTTGCTAAAACATAGCAAGAGTCACCTTTATTTCAGTTCCCAACAAGTTCTTCATCTCCATCTGGGACCATCTCAACCTGGACTTCATTCTCTATATTACTATCAGCATTTTGGTCAAAGCCATTCTAAATCTCTAGGAAGTTCCAAACTTTCCCACATCTTCCTGTCCTCTTCTGAGCCTTCCAAACTGCTCCAGCCTCTGCCTGTTACCCAGTTGTAAAGTCACTTCCACATTTTCAGGTATCTTTACAGCAGCACCTTACTCTACTGGTACAATTTACTGTGTCAGTCTGTTCTCATGCTGCTAACAAGACATACCTGTGACTGCGTAATTTATAAAGGGAAGAGGTTTAATGGACTCACAGTTACACACGGCTGGGGAGGCCTCACAATCAAGGTGGAAGACAAAGGAAAAGCAAAGGAGCATCTTACATGGTTGCAGGCAAGAGAGCATGTGTAGGGAAATGCCTGTTTATATAACCATCGGATTTTTGTGAGGCCCATTCACTACCAAGAGAACAGTATGTGGGAGACTGCCCCCATGATTCAACTGTCTCTGTCTGGCCCTGCCTTTGATACGTGGGGATTAATACAATTCAAGGTGGGATTTGGGGTTGTGGAGAAATAGCCAAACCATATCACACACATAGGATAAAATTTAATTTATAAATTAGGCACAATAAGAGATTAACAACAATAATTAATAATAAAATGGAATGATTATAATAGTATACTTTAATAAAAGTTATGTGAATATGGTTTCTCTCAAAATATCTTTTAAAAAATATTTTAATTTCTAAATGACATATTGTACATATTTATGATATAGATATTAATTGTATTACACATCATAAATAGTAATCAGATAAGGGCAATTAGCATACCCATCATCTCAAAAATTTATCATTTCTTTGTGTCAGACATTCAATATCCTCCTAGCTATTTGAAACTATATATCATTGTTAACTATAGTCATCCTACAGTAATGTAGAACACTAGAAGTTATTCTTCTTATCTATCTATAATTTTGTGTTCTTTAACAAATCTCCCCCTATTTCCCCTTCCACCACCCTTCCCAGCCTCTAGTATCCAATGTCTTACTTTTTGTTTCTGTCAGATCAACTTTTTTTTTGGCTTCTACATATGACTAAGAACATGGAGTTTTCAACTTTCTGTCCTCATTTATTTTTGGATCACAGTTGACTTTGGGTAACTGAAACTAAGATAACCAAAATCATGGATAAGGGGAGACTGCATATATATAAATGCATTTTATAACATCATGTTGTTTACCTTAAATATATACAATGAAATTTATTTTAAAAATACACCAATCATTAACATGACTTGCCAGCCAAATGCATTGGACAAGTCACTTAATCTCTCTGAGGCCTTTCTCATCTCTTAAATAGATATAATAGTATGTACTTTGGAGGATTATTGAGTATATTAAATGATGTTCTACATATTAAAATCCCCCAACAAAACCTATTTTACAGTTTAGGCCTTTATAAAATTTAATGAGCAGATACATGGGCGGGAGGATAGATGTACAGATAGAAAGTGTTCTTTCTAAAATCAAACTTAACTACTTACTAAGGATATACAGAATGTCTTGGGATATTGTAAGAAGGTATGACTCATGCCAAAATGTTATTTGAATTGTTTGCAATATATCCTTTTCTATACCATAGGGAATGAGTTCTCTAACTTCTGTATCTGCTGCCTAATGTACTTTTTTCTCATTATTTTGTCCTATGGCTTCCCAATTGTTCCTGTTGTTGTGCTATTTTTCGATTTTAAAACATTCATGTTCATTTTTTCCATCGACTTCATAACTTTAGAGACTTTGATCATCCTTACTTTTCAGCCTGGTTTTTCTAGCTTGAAAACTTTTGTTCTTTGTAGTTTATCCTTATAAGACAGCTTTCTTATCCCCTTGATCATTTGAAATTCTCTTCTCTGAATCATCTCCAATACCATTATGTCTTCCTGATTGGCAGCTTAAAAGACATGGAGGATGGGAGGGAGAGAAAACAGAGGAAAGTAAAATCAGTCTTGAAATTGATGTTCTGAAAATATGAACATGCGTTAATTGCCAATTGAGTGGTAGACCCACTAATGTGCTTTCCCCAACCCTTCATATTCTGATAGAATATTAGAGTTGGGAGCTCACTTAGAGAGCACCTAGACTACTCTCTCCACTTGCTCCATCATAAGAACCACCTGGGCCATTTGTTAAAGGTAGATTCCAAGGACCCATGCATTGTCGAATATGGTGGCCACTGGCCACTGGTGGCTGCTGAGCACATGACATGTGGCTGCTTTGAATTGAGTTGTGCTACAAGTGTAGGAAACGCAATAGATTTTGAAGACTAAATGCAAAAGAAGAAGGCAAAATAACTCATTACTACTTTAAATTAGTTCTGTGTTGAAATGTTGAGATTTCAAATATAGTAAATTAAATACAAGATATTAGAATTAATTTCATCTATTTATTTTTACTTTTCAAAAACTATAGCTGCCATAAAATTTGAAATTCTATGTGTGGCTCACATTGTATTTCCACTGGACAAGGCTGGTCCAGACATACTGAATCAGAGCCTCAGAGCCTCCAAGGGAGCCGCTTCTGCTCACCAAACATTCCTGGGGATGCTTATGACAAAGGAATTTGTGTGTGTGTGTGTGTGTGTGTGTGTGTGTGTGTGTGTGTGTGTGAGACAAGATCTCACTGTCACCCAGGCTGGAGTGCAGTGGCGCGATCTCAGCTCTCTGCAAAACCCACTTCCCAGGCTCAAGCCTTCCTCCCACCTCAGCCTCCTGAGTATCTGGGACCACAGATGTGTGTCACCACACCCAGATAATTTTTTGTATTTTTGGTAGAGACGAGGTTTCACCATGTTGGCCAGGCTGGTCTCGAACTCCTGAGCTCAAGTGATCTCCCCACCTCGGCCTCCCAGAGTGCTGGGATTATAGGCATGAGCCACTGTTCCTGGCTGTGAGGAGGAAATTTTGAGAAACACTGATAACACAAAACTCATTTGACAAGTGAGGAAATTCAGGTTCAAGGAGTTTTGTCACCTTTTCCAAAGTCATACCGAAACCACTAACGGAAAGGCCCTGGAATCAGACTTTAACCTTATCACAGAAATGTATTCCCGTTTTGCTCACAGCTGTATCCCCAGGGCTTAGGACAGTATCCAGCATCAAGTTCTTTATTAACATATGTGGAATGAATGAGTGAATTAACGAAGGGGGCCATTTAGCCACAATACTTGTGAAGCAGACTGCATAATTTCAGTACCACAACAAGCTGGTCTGCTTTGTTCTGTTCTTGAGGCTGTAAATAGCAGCACTGAGCAAGGGAAAGAATAATACATTATAGGTCATCTAGAAACTACCCATTCCTTGAAAAAACACAACAAAAGCCACTTTAGCATCTGCTGGAGAGCTTCTTTTTTGCATGCAAACCTGGCATCCAAGTCATCCCTTGGGTAAGTGTCTAAGGAATGATTTGTGTCACTAAGAAACAATCTCCACAGGTTTTGTTTGTTTGTTTGTTTGTTTGTTTGTTTGTTTGTTTTTTAAAGTCCACTTGTTGGAAATACTGCCTTCTCTACTAAAAATAGATGAGAAATGTTTGTTTGTTCTAAACTACCTAAGCTGTTCAGAACCCAGGGGTTCTGCTCCCCACTCCCTGTGGGGCTAATGGTTTCTATTTTTAATCTCTGTTGTGTGCAGAAAGAAAAACAGTGTTGAAAGAAGGTACTTTTCAGATAAACTGTAAATATGCTCTGGCTTCCACACGTGGATGTGTCAGAGCAGCGCACTTTGCAGAAATCAGGAATGACAAGAAAACAACTGCATTTGAGTCACCCAACGATAACAAAAAACAAAACCTAATTACTTGCCTCGTCCTCTGTGTCCTATAAATTACTCAGCAGGCAGTGCCAAGGAGGAAGCACAATTTCATAGCATCATTATGAAGTGATGGAACAAATCTTCCGTGTGGGCAAACATTTAGTAAGACGGGAGAGTGACTCACAGACCTTTCTGCCCATTGTTACAATCAGTCCCCACCTGCCTCTCCATGGGCTGAAATAATCCGTTGTCACGCTACTGCAGAAAAATCTAATTGCAACCTCCATCCACCAGCCCCTCTTGAATTGCTCAAAGGCTTAGCTTTAATTACATAACACTGGGAGAGAGAAGCAGAAAAGGCAAAGTCTGTGTTCAGCCTCTAGAAAAGTGGAAATTGGTGGGAGGTCACATGCCTAGTGGTCTGAGGGTCTGGGAACCATCTGTCGTGTCACCTGGAAAACTTATTCCAGTACATATTTCCAGGGCCCACCCCAAACTCGAATCACAGTGTGAGTCCCAAGAATCAGTATTGGTCCCCCAAGTGATGCCTATGCACACGAATGTTTGAAAACCATGAGTCCAGAATCATGTCAACCACACCTAATTTTTTCAAAGTGGAACTGAATTATATGGATGAATAAATGAAAGTGTCACATTCTTTACCCATTCCAGTACACAGGACTCTTTCTTCCAGCATAAGACTCTCCTCCAGAACCACAGCCCGGCAGGACACTCTATGTGGTAGCAAGTTCCCAGAAGACAGCCTGGCTGAAGAGCCCGCATTTCCAGATTCCTTGATCTGCACCAGAACTCTGCAGTCTTCATTGGAGATTCTGCTTCCGCCAACCACTGTCCAAATCAAATACAGCTTGTTTCCTACTTGGACCCTATTCCCTACCTGGCAGACCCTCCACAGACCAGTTTAGTTTCTGCCATGGGCAAGCCTTCCGCTATCCTGCAAGGGGTGCTGCCACAACCATGTGCCTTGTGTCGTGCCCTTAGACATGCTAGTGCTCACCACGGATGAAGAATTTCAGAGATACAAATGATCCAGGAATGGAATCATATTAAATGTGTGCCTCAGCTGAGTTCAGAAGGTTGGTGGTGACCGTGTAAGGGAGTGGAAAAGGCATTCAGGGTGTAGGATACAGAAAAGAGCTGGATGTCAATCAGAGAGCAAACCACATATGGAAGAGCCGAGAGGAGCCCTTGCTGAGGTCACTGGACAGACAAGGCCAGGAAGGAAAGTGTGGTCAGTTGTTGATTTTTCTTCAACTTCATCCCTGCCTCACTAGCTCCTATGGCTGACGCTTCCAAGGCTGAATGTAGGTGCAAGGGCATCAGGAGAGAAGGTGCCTTTTACATTTACAGGGAAGGTACAACTGTTGATTGGCATTGGTGCCCCCTGGGTTGCATAAACAACTCTCCCTCCTCTATCTCCCCTCCTCCTTTGTGTGTGTGCATCTCTCTCTGTCTCTCTACCTCTGCCTGTCTCTCCATCTTTGTGTTTCTGTCTTTCTCTGTCTCTGTCTCTCTATCTCTGTCTCTTCCTCCTCTTGTGTTTCTACATTTCTTAAGATTCTCTGTCCTTCCAACTGAGAAACGCCTCATCCCAGCTGCCCCCACAATTCTCCCCTTTGCCCCCGAGTGTCTATGGACCACCTCCCTCTCAGGATTCCTCTCTCCCATGGTGATCTTCCTGAAATGGATCATTTTGAAGACAATCCCCAGGCATCTCCAAAAAGAAGAATGTTCAGAAGATCCGCAGCTCTGTGTTGCTGTCTGTGGAGATGACGCTTGCTCACAAAAACCACTCTTCTTGGCTTTGCTGCTGGCCATGGAGCTGCAGCCGCATCCTCTCTCTTTGAGCTTATCTGGGGATCAGACGACAGGCTGTCGATTCTGTACACTCCAGGGGAAATTTCTGCAGCCTCCACGTAGTTTTCTTGAATTGCCTTTCAGTCATCATGAGGCAAGAATAGCACATCCCATTTTCCCCATCCCCGTGGCAGTGGTGAGGCAGCCAAGTGGAGGGAAGTGTCCGATTATTCTGAAAGCCCTCCTCAAAGGAATTTCCTTCCTCAGCCTCCTCAACCTCACCTTCTCACAGGGGATGGAGGTGAAACATTAATGGTGCACAGACACAGCCAGCTTTAGTTGATTCCTCAGGCAATGCCTATATAACCATCTAGCTCTTCTCCTTAAAATGTGGCAATACAGTTTTTTGTTTCCAGCCCAAACTGATGAGTCTCATTTTACTAACTTTTTTCTCATCTACAATTATAATTCAAGGTGATATTTATTTTAAGAGAAACATGTATATATTGCCATAGAATTATGATGTAATCCAGGAGAAAAAATAGGAGGGAGTGTCTCACCTTGTCTGGGACAATTAAGGAAATCTTTTCAAAGGAAGTGATACTTGAGCTGAGTTTGAAGGTTGAATAGGAGGCACTGGGCTTCTGCGTGGAGACAGGGACAGGTGCTATTCTAGGTTTAATGTTACCAGATACTTCCCTTTCATGTTCTTTAGCTCGTATAAGAATTCAAAAATCATTTCTAGAGCTGCCACACACTAAATGTCAGATCATTTGTAGGGGAAAAAAAAGGGAGATTGAAACCAGTGAGGACTGGGATTTGATAAATGAATTAGAGAGAAGCCAGCCCTGTCCCTAGACAGCAAATACACTTCACTGATGCCTGGGACAACTTAGGACTCCAAGACAATGAGATATTCCCATTGTGCTCTCTCTCTTTCTCCCTTTCCCTCCATTCCCCAACCCGTGTGTGTGTGTGTGTGTGTGTGTGTGTGTGTACGTGCAAATAGGCCATGGGTTTGCGGTCCATTTTTGACCCCTCTATCCAAATCCATTTTAGACAATAAGTAATTCTAGAAAAAGCAAAACAGTGAATGCAGCAGCCCAGGAGTTTCTATAGAATTGAAGGTCAATGTCCTACAAAGCTTTCTGAAGGTGCCAAAGGAGAGAAACTATCAAATGGATTCCAGAGAGACAAAAACACATTGAATAAAAAACATTCCTGCAGAGTTAATACAAGCTGTCTCCAGGGCTTGAGCAGATGGAAATCTCATCCATCCAGGCATTTCCTGGGAGGTAGTGCACAACGTGGTCTCCCTAAACCAAAGCATTCATCAAATTCTGCCGTTAGATACTGAGCACTAGTAGCTTCTATGAGTTTCTCAGAGGGCCAAAGGTGGAGGTTAGATAATCAATAGTGCTTTAGAGCGAGAAGAGATCTCAGAGATCAATTCACACAGCTAATTTTACAGATGAGGAAATCAAAGCTCTGAGGCATTTGTTGTCTCTCCCCAAATCTCATTAATCACAAGTTACAAAGAACGAAAGCTCAGGGTTCGGGCTCTTTATGAGACAGCGTGTATCAAAGAAAATGCTAAGGCCCCATATGAGGATGGCATAGAAGAAGCGTGTTTATCTCTGGACTGTCCCTCTGGAAGGCCCCCGAAAAAGATAGCAAATGCGTGACGGGAACACACGAACCCAAAAGGACAACAAGAACAGTTGAGATGATGCCAGATGAGAGACGTCAACGAGGTTTTAGAAGAGGCAAAGCGGATGCATGGGTGGTAAATAATATATCAGAGTGGAAAGAGCTGAAACCTAATCTGCAGAGAAAGAAAGCAATAAAAAGCAAGGTGATTTACACCACTGAACTGTGAGAAAGCCTCAGGAATTGAACTGAAAGTAGGACTGTGGGGTGGGGGCTAAGAAGAGGAGATGGGGGAACTTTGGTGTACAGACTACTTACAGCCTCAGATGGCTCTGTCCTCTTTCCCAGCCACTTGGCCAACCCAGCTCCTGAAAGCTACGCATATATGCAGACACCTACCTCTTCATACACATGCCCCCGAAGGCAGGGCTTGAGCTAAGGACTTATGTGTGTGTTGTTCATCTAGGAATATGATCCCAAGAAGTAGGAGTAAAGGAATAGCAGAAGTGAAAAGTGAAACAGCCAGGGTCATTATCATATTGGCCAGGGCTGTGGGTGACAAGTTGCTCCATCCGATGGGACTGTCTAAGAAGGCTTGTGAAATGGGCTCAGAACCATCTTCCCTAGGTGAGGAAAGAGGAATGCACTTTCTCTCATCTCCATCTACCACTGATGGATGGTGTCAGCTTCCCTACCCCGCCAGGTTGCCCTGTGCCAGTGCCCACTGGTTTTGCACTTCTAGGCCCCAGAGGAGCTCAGGGGCAGGGCCAGGAGTTGGGGTCCAAGTGCTACCCAGGGTCCCTGCGTCAGACTAGCCACACCCACATGGGATTTGTCATCACACTGGTGGCTGGAATAAGAGGTGGACAGAGAAGATTTAAAGTGGGGTGCAAGAGGTTTCCGTAATAACACAATTACTGAACTGAAGATTCTGGGTTTGGAAGTTTCAGATACAGTGGGAGCTTTTAGCAAGGAGCTGGGAGGTTTTAGCAAGGGGCTGAAAACAAAGGCTTTAATGTAAAACCCAAATACTGAAAGGAGGCTATCCCAGCCCACTTTCCTTGCTTTGGTCTCAGGATACTGGTAGCCAGATACTTCAGGCAGGAACTGCAGGATCTTCCCTAGAGAAATAATCTAGCCCAAGGTGAAAGACCTACAAATACTGATATTTTGGGATCTCTCTAACAAAATGGTCAAGTCCCAGTCCGACAACCCTAAATGGAATCTTAGCATTCAATGACCATGTACACATGGCTTCCAATGACTTTTCATCTCTCGGTCTTAAATAAGAATGGACAGCCAAAAGCCATCAAAAAATTGAAGCAAGCCTGTAATATTAAAGACAGTTTTTGTTTGTAAATTGTTATCTTATATACATTGACTCTCTTCCCTTCAAGGGCATTTGAATGTTTGTTTGCTTTTGATTATTAGTAATAGCCTCAGAGGGACAGAGGGATCTTGGCATTCAAGAGGCAGCACTGAGCTCAAGAGTGCTTACAAATGGTGGAATCAAAATCTGGTTCTGTTACTGATAGCAATGTGAAATCAGGAAAGTCACCGGACTCATCTGTACCTCAATTGCCTCATCAATAAAATGAGGAATAATAAGCCCTACATGCACACCCGGTGTCACTCACCTATAAAGAAAGAGCTACCATTGTACAGGGTACCATTCACATCAAATGAATAGAAATAGCTTTCTCTGGAGTTGTGCAGTGTCCAACATGCACAGCCATATGAGGAAGCCCTGTTTGGCAAAACTCCCAGGGAATGCCCACAGAGCTCTGCATGCACTGCCCTCTCCCAGGCGTCATACCACCATCACAGCGATGGCACTGAAGTGCAGAGATGCTTCTATCTTTAAAAACAAGGAAATAAAAGAATCCCCCTTGAACTCACATGCCTCTCTAGCTTCTTGTCCAGTTGTCTTTTTCCCTTATAGCAGGACTCCTCAAAAGAATCTACAATTCCTGAATCCCATCTTGTTGCCATCATTATTATATGCTTGGCTCTGGGGAAATCTTCTCATCCCTGCTCCCAGTATGAATACCCTCACCACAACATATATGAAATAATCTTATCAGTCCTTCAGCCTATATACCTTAGTCACTAATTCACAAGTCATTCCTTACCAGCCAGAAACTTACCCCATTTCATTGTGTACATCTCTGAGCCCTGATGCCTCCACAGAGCCCAACTCCTTCCACTCTGCCTTCTAGAACTCAAGGTCATCAGCAAAATAATCTATATTCCAGCTACATCTCTGAGCATTCCCTCCACCTTTCTCCTCTAGCTGAAGCCTGCCTGATCCTTGGGGACACTGCATCTCCTTCAGCCTGTTCTTTTAAAGCCCTTGAACCAGTGGGCTTGGAGGTGGTGTAGATGTTCTCCCAACTCTTCATTTGGCTTCTAGAGCATCATCCCTTCTTATTCATAAAAAAACCTAGTTCTTGCCAGTAGACAGTATGATTAGCTATCTATCGTTGTTACGGTCATCAATAAATCAGTAGGTTAATCCCCTCTTTTCTTGAGTTCATTGTTTTGATACTGTTTACCTGAATATAAGGACAACCCCTCCCTCCACTGGTATCCTGAATGTCATCCCCTCTAGTCTACTCAAAGATATCAGTGTCCTAATTTTCCAACCTTTCTCACAAAATTTTTTCCTCTCTGTGGCTCATTTCCATGATCATGAAAAGATGCTCCCATCTTGAAAAACAGTGAAAGAAAAGAACCTCTCACATGCCTCTCTAGCTTCTTGTCGAGATGTCTTCTTCCCCTTATAGCAGGACTCATCAAAAGCATCTACAATCCCTGAATCCCATCTTTTTTTCCATCATAATCTTTTGAAATCACTTCAATTGGACTGACAATAAAAGGAAAATCACCCTCGGCAAGGTCAACCCCATGTCATCAAATCTAATGGTCATTTTTCCAGGATTATCTTACTCAACTCAGCATTTGACACCATCAGCACCTCTCATTTCCATGATACATTGCCTTCACTTGATCTCCAAAAAGCCATTCTCTCCATTCTCTCATATGTCCTCCTGCCACCCTACTCACTCCTTCTCAGCCTCTCTTACTCGTTTCCCTAACCAAAGCATGGCATTGCATGAAGACTCAGTCTCCAAATGTCTCCTGTCTTTCTTACATTTATCTGTGAGCTCATCTCATCCATTCAGTTGGCTTTAATTTCCATCCATATGCAGAAGTGGTCAAACATATGTGGCCTCTCCCCTGAGTTCTGCATAAGTACTCTCTCCCAGATGTCTGATAGGAACTCAAACAGAACACTCAAAACAGAACTTGATTTTTCCTCCCAAATGTGCCACTCCCATAGTCTTCCAAAACCCAATTAATGGTAAGTGCATTCTCTCATTTAATCAGGCCAAGAAACCTTAGTTTCTTTTTTTTCACTGAGTGACTCCCTCCTGCCACATCCATTGTATCTGTGTGGACAGATGATGGATAGATGAGAGAGAGAGGGAGAGATAGAGACAGAGAGAATGAGAGAGAGAGAGAGAGAGTGAGTGAGAGAGAGAGAGAGAGAGGCCCATACCTATCTTAAATATTTATAAAACTCTTTCCTTTCTATGGACAAATGATGGATAGATGAGAGAGAGAGAGAGAGGGAGAGAGAGAGAGACAGAGAGAGAAAGAGAGAGAGAGAGGTCTCTACCTACCTTAAATACTTATAAAACTCTTTCCTTTCTATGGACAAATGATGGATAGATGAGAGAGAGAGAGAGAGAGGGAGAGAGAGAGAGACAGAGAGAGAAAGAGAGAGAGAGAGGTCTATACCTACCTTAAATATTTATAAAACCCTGTCCTTTCTAAGAATCAGAAGCCACCTTTCACTACAAATTTTCCAGTGGTTTCTGCATTGCTTGTGTCTCTGTTAATCCAGATGAGGAGAAATGTTCTTATCAAACATAACCCGAAAGAACAAAGACCCCAAATTAATGGCCTGATTCAACACATGCTCTATCACATAAGCAGAAGAGGGTAAGTAGGTTGAGCTTTCACCCCACCATCACTTCAGCAAACATCAAGAAGCCTCTGTTGTCCAATGAGTGATGAGTGATGGAGTTCTTCGGGTCAGGGTTTCTTCCAGGGCATTTCTGAAGTCCTGGAGCCTGCAGAGGAGCCCATGGAAACAGCCAGCACAGGAGTCCACCTGTCTGGGCCTTTACAATTTGGGATCAATCCTAGGATTAAAATAGGCAAAGTATCTCTTGGGATCTCTTCTATATTTTTCATTGTAATTCAACTCAATAAATACTTTCTAAACATGCAAATTTGCTGTGTTAAATTGTGTGGCTGCAAAGATGTCTAGAAAGGAGACATCCTCATTTGGAAAAGTATTCATATTACATTCCCTTTCTCCCTCTGCACAAGCCTGCTTTTCCTGACTACCCTCAACTGCCCAGTGTGTCTTTTCCCAATATCTTAAATCATATCTTCTCTGCCCACTATCAAACATTCTTCAGCTGTAACTAGGGACAAAAGTTGCTGATTACATTCATTCATTCTCAGGAATAAATGATTAGGAGTTCCCTTTAAACTCTCACATTTTTTAATACAATAAGACTCTTCATGTCAAAACAAGAATCAGTATTTTACAGCTTAATAAACTTTATATATGTACACAATGCATATACTGAAAATAAAATCAAAGCAAATAATAGGCTCTTCGGTCTCATAGATCTATTTCTCCTTAATAAAATCTTAAATTCTTTCACACTTGCAAGAGATAGCAATACCCAGGGCTTGAACAATTGCAAGGAGTTTTACTTGCATTTTTCCCCTGCATTTCTCTTTTCCAGACCAGAGCACCTAACACTGTTTTTGTAAATTGTACAAGTATACAAGGTATTGACAAGTTTTCTAACTGAGAATTAGTTTTCTTCTCTCCAAAGCTAAGCCACTGTTTGGGAAAGCAATTGGTTACATTTTGGGCTTTGTTGATGCTGTCATTTCCATATCCTGAATTCTAAAAAGTCATAGGAATGTATCTAGTAAATCATTTATTGGTAATTCTAGAAGAGTTTTATTTGAGAAAATGCCATTCCACTGGAGTTTTATAGAAGATCAAACAGTTATTGAAAAAAAAAGACCTAGAATTTTTACTAAGACATTTTTTGAATAGAAGGGCATGAATACATCATCATCTAAAGTTCTTCTCATTCTCCATAACTCCCACATATTTTTATTTGATTTAAAACATGTCTATCTTTCAAAATCCAATCCTCAACTGATCACATCCCAGGAGATGTATATTGGAGGAGGTAAATGCCTTGGGCTGGGATTCACACCATGTAAGATTTCCCCCTGCTTCCCTCCAGCCCTTGTCATCTCCATGAACAAACTGCTCAATCCTGGAAATGGGGAATCATTTCCTCTTCTTGTCATCACTAACCTTCAGACCCAATCCATCCCCAGGTCTTGTCATTTCTATTTCCACACAAGGGATCTTGGCTATGTCAGTTTACCTCCACCATCACTACCCACTACTATTCCAAGGAGGCCATGATTTTTCACCTGAACTGGCAATAGGCTCCTAATTGCTATCCATTTCTGATGGATTCTAAACCATTTCATACCCATCAACCAAAGTGCTCACCCTAAAGTGTTATTTGTATATCACTTCTTGTTCAAAATATATAATAGGTTACACGCATGAATGGGCTATTGTGGAGAATTTGCATCAAGGTCCAAGAAACCCTGGAGGATCTGGCTGTAAGGAATCCCTTCCCTTGACTCACTGTGCTCTAGTCACCCTGCTCTTCTTTCAATTCCAATGAAGGTCTTTTCTGACTCAGGACCCCTGTACATACTGCTGTCTTGGGAGATACTAAGCACAAATTTTGTAAATTATAACTTTAAATTGTACAATCAGGGAAGTCTTTTTTGAACCCTACAGAGTGAGTAGGTCATCCTGTTATATTGTCTCATAGCTCTCTCCTTGAATATATTAAAGTCATTAATTACATAATTATAACTATTTTTAGTCTTCCTCTCTGCTAGATTATAAGCCTCATGACAGCAGAGATATGGCCATATTCCTGTTAAAGACATCTCCTTTGCATGAAGCCCCCTCAAAAAATAAATAATTGCTTACTCAAATATTTGTTAAAGATTAAGTGAAATAAGCCATGCACAGAAAGACAAATACTACCTATTCTCACTCATATGTGGGAGCTAAAAAAGTTGATCTCAAGGAGGTAGAGAGTGGAATGGAACTTGAGTTGATTAATGGGTACAAAACTACAGTTTGATGGAGTACATTCTAGTGTCTGATAGCACAGTTGGGTGACTATAGTTAACAATAATTTATTATATGTGTCAAAAAATAACTAGAAGAGAAGATTTGAAATGTTTCCAACACAAAGAAATGATCAATGACACAATGGACACCCAACAACCTGATTTGCTCATTCCACATTGTATGCATGTATCAAATATCACACTTACCCCATAGATGTGTACAATTATTATGTGTCAATAAAAAGAATAAAATAAAATCTGCCCTGCCTCAGAATGACTTACCTTTTCTTTTTAACCTAGACTCATTTTTGCTATTTTTAATGAAAAACGGTGTTTCTGAGAAACAGAGAGCTCTCTCAACTCCATTTGTTGCTATAACACATAAATCTTGTTGTGTTTGAGCTATGGCACATTTTCAGATTTATTCCTCACTCATGTAACACTCGACATGAGTGTTCCTGACCCACAGGCAGCACTCCTTGTCTACAAGGAGACCCAAGCTCCTCCCATCCGGAGAAACCACCATGTCCAACACACAGCTGTCAAGGCTGCACCAGGCATTTGCACTGGGACAGGGAGAGGGGAGGGGCAGAGAAGACCTAGCTCAGGAAGTGGGGAAGCAGTGCACCTAACTGCACTCACATTCCATCACCCAGGACTCTGCACCTGGGCCACGCCTAACTGCAGGAGAGCCTGAAGGGGAAATAATTTCATTATCAGTTCAAAGGCAGTTCCAAACTTATGAAGGTATTCCTCTCTTAAGGCAGTTGTTAAGGATTTGGAAAGCACTTTTATTCCTAGCTCCACTGTAGTGCTGAGGTCTTTACGCCAGCACACAGGACCCTATAAACCCATAAGGATCACACCTGAGGCCATCTCTGTCTTTGGCCCAAATCACGCTCTCTTCTTCTGCATAGGCACATCCCGACCTGCAGGACTCCCCCAGGTCACCAAGTCACCACCAGCATCTGGACCTTCGAATCAGCAGCATTGAAACAAGTCATGACAAAAGGTAACACTCAGAGCTTTGGAAGGGAACAGGCCTTCGGGTGGGGAGATGTGGAGGAGAAATGACAGCATGAATTAAAGCCCTAACTCCTAGCTTTACTGAGAGCCACCCACGATCTGAAACCCCAGCAGCCTCCCCTTCCTGCCGTCACCACTGGGCTTTCTGTCTTCCTCCATCACCTTCCAACTTCTGACTGAAACACAGCTTGTTTTCCTCTCAAGTGTTTTATTTCAAATTAAATTGTCAGTGAAAATTCTTTGTGTCTTAAGGGTCTCGTTATACCAGTGAGTTTCCATACAAGGACTCAGTGAAGAAAGAGGGAGGATTGGTCTGCCTACATGGAAAATTTTGTGTTTATTGTTTTTCTTGAGATGTCCTACAATTTGAAGCAAAAGTAACTGGCTTGCTCCATGGGCCATAAATTATAAAGTAAAAAATATGCTATAATGGACCAAAGGTGAGATGTATAAGTTGGAAGGAATAAGCTAGGAGAGAAAAGACTACAGGTAGCTCCCTGCTCCCCAGGGAATAAAACAGAAGGAAGGGGCTGAGAAGCTGCCCGAGACAGCTGAGTGTCTATGAAGGATTAGGCAGACCTATAGCACAGTCTCCCCAGTTCCCAGAAAGGGCGAATTGCCCCTGGGTGTGTGGGGCTTTCACCACAGGAGGGCCACCTGGAGGAAGCATGTGTCCTCTCAATGACAGCTCCACTCCCTTTCTCAGAAGAAAGGGGCAAAGACATCTGTGGCCAAAGTTGACAAAATAAACCCACAACCTATGTACCTAGTATTCTTGTTCAGCAAATGTATCCAGAGCTTTGATTTGCAGGGCACACATTTAATTTATGAACTGCTCAATTGGACCTCTTTCTTTCCTTCCTTTCCTTTCCCCTTCCTTCCTTCCTTCCTTCCTTCCTTTCTTTTCTTTCTTTTTTTTTTTTTGACAGTTTCACTCTTGTTGCCCAGGCTGGAGCATAATGGCACAATCTAGGCTCACCGCAACCTCCACCACCCGGGTTCAAGTGATTCTCCTGCCTCAGCCTCTTGAGTAGCTGGGATTACAGGTGCCCACCACCATGCCCAGATAATTTTTGTAGTTTTAGTAGAGACAGGGCTTCACCATGCTGACAAGGCTGATCTCCAACTCCTGACCTCAGGTGATCCATCCACCTCGGTCTCCCAAAGCACTGGGATCACAGGCGTGAGCCACCACACCTGACCTGGGCCCATTTCTTTACTTCAATATGAATATATAAGAAAGCCATTACCTGAGAGTAGAGTGGTCTTAGACAAGTACACGAAGTCAAGTTTTCTAATGCCTCACACTTGATTCCATTAGCTGCCTCTGCTTTTCCCTCCACTTTCTCAACCCTTTCTGCTTTATCTTCTCCACTTTTCTCCCATTTCTCCCTCCTTTAGCTCTGTATGGCTTCTGTTTTCCTATCTCCTCTCCCAAGGTCAGCCTCGGTGCTGCCATGATCTCGGAGGCCCTGGTCCAGCTAATTTCCTTCTCACGCTGGGCTGCAGATGCTACATTTCCACCCTCATTCCATCTGTGATGAATCAATCCAAAAATTCTTTTGAGTGCTTAGCGTGTGCCAAGTATAGAGGTAAAATTGTGGGGCAGGGACTTTCATTCCCAGGATGTCAGAAAGTTTCCAAAATTAGTGAAACTCTTAGGTGAATTGTCGGCTTTGGTGTTATCCAGAACTATCATTTATTAGCTGTGAAGCTTTATAAAAAGTGTTTGCCTTCTCCACGCTGTTTTCTCATCCATAAAGCAGGCATTATAAGAATGCCTACTTTCGAAGGTGCTAGTGAAGATTAAATAAGATAATGTATGGGAAACATTTGTTACAGAATGGGATGCATAGCACTAACAACAAACATATACTGAGATCTCATTACCCCCTCATATTAATGTTGAGTTGGCAAAATGACAACATGAATCACCTGGACATCTGCAGGACACTTGACCATTCTTACAGCTGAGCCTGAAGGCTGAGCATGTCCCCATCTATCACCTAAAGGCTGGTACTTCCCACAGCTACAACATCTGCCCCAACTCCTTCCTGCCTTCAGTCCCACGTCTGCTGGCCTCTGGCTGGGAAAGGCACAGGGAGTGAGGACCAAGTGGCAAGATGGTCTAGGAGTCCCAGGCCTTCATACAAGGTCTTCCCGTCTCAGAGCCACGCATGCAGGTGTGCAATAACTCTCTCAGCCCCAGTATGGGGCTTGGAAGTTAGAGTGTTCTGGAAGCCTGAACCCCAAAAGTCAGCAGTGGAGTGAGCGCTTTGCCCAAGTGATCATGCAGGCTGTGGCATTATCTGGTATTTTGTGTTTATTACGGCCAGGGAAAACTTCCTCGCACAGCAGGGGAGCTGAGGATAGTGCTCGTGTACTGTATATGGTTATGCCGCAATCACGACTTTTATGAGAATCATGTCTTTCAGAGATAAGCTCGAGAGAGATTGCTCATTTTTATTGTTTTGCCTGGAAATAGGAAATTCCCTTCTTGCAGTGATGCAAAGCAGTCTTTTGATCTCCCTCCAGAAACAGACACATGCTAGCGAGATGCATGTCCTCCAACTCCCTTCAGCTGGGCATGGTTTGCAAAATTAATGAATCGGAAAGATTCCAGTTGCACAGTAATATTAATGATGATAATTGTTTCAATGATATCTCTGACTTTTCAAAATGCTTTCATATCAATTCTCATTTCATTCGCAAGTGCACTTAAGAAGGAAGGCCTCATTTTATTGGTACTTGGCTCATCTATGATTAAATGGTAACCCAAAGAAGTCACCCAGCTTTCCTAGGTCACAGAGCTAGCTAGTTAAAGAAAACATTGTACCAGAACAGCAGGCTCCAGGTGTCCGGTCACATCTCATTTCTACCTTATCCCGTCACCTTACACCAATAATGCTTCCTTTTCATTCTTCTTTCTGTATTCAGCGAGTAACAGTCTTATCCAAGCTTTCATTGTGACATGTCTTCTAATCTTCCTTGCTATCCTATCGCAATTGCCATCAGATGAAACTGACCTTAAGTGCTTGCAATAGGCCTCATAATTTCTTCACTTCTAGAAACGAAGTGCCCAGACATGTGTCCATTCCCACTACAACATCACAACATCATGCCTCCTACACACTGTCTTTAATACTCTATTATCTGTAAAATAAAACCCAAACTCTCCTCTCAGGCATGTGAGGCTCCCACCTACTACTCAAGCTTACTTCCAGGGAGAATCCTTCTCCCCAGGCAGCTGCATTGGCCCACCGTTCTCATCATACACCTCAGGTGCTCTGATCTGAGACCTCATCCTCAATCCTCCCTTCCCCCAGAACACACCCCTGCTCTACCCAGTCCCACCTCCTGCGGAGCCCTGTGGGGTCCGTACTGCCCGTCCATTAAGCCTTTTCTGACCACTCCAGCCAGCAGGGCACAGTCTGCCTGTGCTCCTTAAACATGATCTTTTTTGTTCACTGTCCCCACAGAACTCCAGGAAACTTGAATGCAGCGCTTTCTTTAAGCCCTAAACACCTGGGACAGTCTTCTGTACATCATAGGCGGTAGGCATGATCCCTGTGCACCTTCTGAGCACAATCTGAGCACTTGGAGAGAAGAGGCAAAAGGGATGTCAAAAATAATTTTAAAAACAAGCCAAGGATCTACAGTGTGGACTTCCAAATCCCCTTGGCAACGGCAGCTAAGAAGAGCTCTGTAGTGGATGTAAATAATTTAGTCTCCAAGTGGACTGAGTTTTTGACTTAAGTTTGAAAAAAATGTCTGTGAATCACTCTGAAACTACACAGGGAGAGCAAAAGTTCCCTATGGATCTTTTTGAAGGATGTTTTTCAAAGGCATTCAGTGTGGTTACAAGTTTACAGAGAGGTCTGCTTCAGAAGAGAAAGTCGCGGGAGTCTCTATGTCTAAAGTCATTTCTAATGAAGATATATGATTCCTGCAGCCGGTTACTCTCAATGAGAGACTTTGCAGTGCCCTATGACATACCCTGGGTGAGCTCAGACATAAATGCAGCAAAAAAGACAAAGTAGCAGCCAGCTGCCTGATGTTTTCTGCTAATTCAACTGGGATCCTGCATTACTGGGAAGAAGAGAACAGGGAAGAGGTGACTTTCTCGGTGTGTCCTGTGGGGTGACACTGTCTTGCTGCACACAGATGCCAGTCTGGACCATGTGGCTGGAGCACTTCCCCCCTGGCATCCCTCCAACCCAGTTCTCTCTCGGTACTGGGTCATCACACTTCCTTTTGAATAGCCCCAGGTGAATATCTGTTATTTACCGTCCACCTTGGATATGTCTCTCCTGAGATTTTTAAGCAAAGTCTTACAGTTAATATTGTTATTACCTAATCAGCACTTCCCAGGACTTATTCTTACTAAAAGTTTTATCAACAAGACAGAGTGTCAAGGCTATATCTAATAATGCCTGCCTGTTCAGTTTTGGTAACTGTATTAGTCCATTCACACACCGCTATGAAGAAATACCCAAGACTGGGTCATTTATAAAGGAAAGAGGTTTAATTGAATCACAGTTCCACATTGCTGTGGAGCCCTCAGGAAACTTACAATCATGGTAGAAAGCAAAGGAGAAGTAGGTACATTCTTCACAGGCAGAAGGATGGAGTAAGTGCAAGCAGGGGAAATGACAGACGCTTATAAAAACCATCAGATCCTGTGAGACTCACTCACTATCACGAGAACAGCATGAGGGAAACGACCTCCAGGATCCAGTTACCTCCACCTGGTCCCACCCTTGACACATGGGGATTATGGCGATCACAATTCAAAGTGAAATTTGGGTGGGGATGCAGAGCCAAACCATATCAGTAACTGAATGTCAACGTCACTTGCAGCAATTGATTGACAACGTGATGGGCAATGCAGCTTGATTCTACTTTCAATGAGACCTCAATCATTTTGTAATAATTAACACTTACACTAGACAGAGGATACTGGCTGGAGGAGGGTCTGGAGATCACTGAATAAGTCATAATTATCAGTAGTTAACACTTGGGGCTGTTTACTATATGTCTGGCATTGTGTGAGCACTCTCTCTTACATGATTCTCACTTAACAGATGAAGAAACATTACCTCTCTTTCTCTCAAACTTGCTAGTACCACACTCAAATCCAAAGCCCACAGTCAACATTCAAACCCAAAGCTTACACTCAACACTCCTGCACTGCCTGGACCTTTCTGGAAGGGTTTCTGTTGTGCTGTAGAAGACGGTTTACAAAGCATTGCTTTAGAGAGCAGGGAATTTGAAGTTTGGGTGGGTCTTTGCTGTTTAAGTTTCCAAAAATTCCTGAAAGATGAAGCAGGCAATCTGAATTTTAACTTGACTTAGCCATTAATCATTAAGATCATCTTAGGAAACCCACCAGTACATCAACAAACACAATAGGAGTAGATTATTGTGCCTTTATTGTGTTTGTTGTGCCCTTCTTGTGAGTGCAGAGCCCTCATGAATGAGATAGGGCCCTTATTAAAGGGACTCCAGAGAGCTCACTTGCCCCTTCACCATGCCAGGACACAACTAGAAGGTTCTGACTCTGAACCACAGAGTGGGCCCAACAGGGTTACGGCTTGAGTGTGTCCTGTGTCCTCCAGCTCTCCGCAAAGCATTGGGAAATCTAGGGTAGAACAGGACATCACGATACAGTCACAAAATTCACACATGAAATCATTACAAAACGCTTTTATGGAGGTGACCATGAGCTCAGGGTTCATGAAGCACTCAGAGTAGGATTCATGTTGCAGACAGGACCAGAAAGGGATCTGAAGGGTGGGAGGACTCAGACGAGTGGGGACAAAGAAAAGTGAGCTTTCTGGGCAGCGTGCATGGCCAGGGTGCAGTTGAACAAGGCATAGGTGGGTGTGCTGGGAAGACAGTGTCATTGCACCTGAGTGTGGGTGGTTACCTGCGAGGCAGGGAGGGGCTCCCACAGGCGGGAGGGTTTGGACTTGAGAGTGACATTGTGGAACTCACCCCGCTCCTCCCCTCAGCCTGCTGGGTGCACTAAACCTCTTAGGAGTTCCTGAACTCTTCTTGCCTGTTGCTCTTACGCCTCTTCCTGAACGAGGACTGTTAGGTACCTTGCTAATTTTCGAGTTATTTCTGTGTGAGTTATTATTATGATGCCAATTCATTCTCAGGTGCACCAAAGATATCATCAAAATGATTAAGTCCAGATGTCACAGGATACCATCTTTAAGGAAGGGTTTTTTAAAAGGCATGGGAGCTTCCTTCCTGTCTGCATCCTTGACTTCGCTGCCACGGCATTCATCATGTTCACTCCCTTCTCCTCATTTCCTTTCTTGCCCTCTCTATTCTCTGGCTCTCCTCCTACACATTCCATTTTGTCTTCTATTGTGAGTAAAAGATAAAACCTGAGTGACTCCCCCAGTGCCCAGCATGTCTCATCTCTCAAAAAGAATGTCCTTGCTGCTCCACCCACACTGATCTTCCTCATCTCTGAGATCCAAAAGCACCGGCCCTGGGTCATAACAGCAGCAGCAGCAGCACAGCAGGGGCCACTCTGTGAGCAAGGGCCATGTGCAGGGCACCAGGCAGAGGGGCCGGGTGACAGGCAGGTGGACGACACAGGAGGCAGCCAGCACCATTGTCCAGCCTCCTCTCTGGGGGCCTAGCAGCCAGTGGTCTTCATGCTTCATGGGGAAGGAAATCACATGGGTTATTAAATGCCCTCCAAAAACTGCTGTGTGGTCAGATCCTCCCTGGTTTCATCTCTATACTGACAGCAGATGTGTCTGCCTTCTGCAAGCAGACTTCCATGGTAAAATCTCTTCCCTACTTAACACTCAGTCCAGGCTGGGCTTCCTCAGATCCAGCTGCCTGCAGTTTTCATTAAGCAGCGGACCTTCCAAGTCATTCCTGTTGTAGCCCAAAGATAGGAGGAAGTGGGCTTCTCCCAGGAAGTCCCCTCGGACTTCCATTCCAAGCTTAGAATGAGAGTCTCTTCAATGGGACTCAGCCCTGTGAGGGCTCTCGAAGACAAGAGGCTTCATTGAGTCAGATGGAACCAACCTTCTTGCCTTGGTAGCTTTTCTCTTGGGAGGTCCTTTTCTTCCAACAGTCCTTTCCGAGTCTACTTCACCTCATCAGGGGAGAATTCCTCAATGTCCCTGATCTCTGGGTGACTGTCTTAGTCCATCTGGGTGGCTGTAACAAAATGCCATAGACTGGTGGCTTATGAACAACAGAAATGTCTTTCTCACAGTTCTGGAGGCAGGAAGTCTGAGATCGAGATGCTACAGATTTGGTGTCTGGGGAGGGCCCACTCTGTGGTTCAGAGTCAGCACCCTCTCCCTGTGTCCTCACATGGCGGAAGGGCCAAGTGAGCTCTCTGGGGTCCGTTTAATCAGGGCCCTATCTCATTCATGAGGGCTCTGCACTCACAACCTAATCCCCTCCCAAAAGGCCCCACCTCCTAAAACCCTCACCTTGGCGGTTAGGATTTCAACATACAAATTTGGGGTCTGGGGGAGGGACAAACGTTCAGACCATAGCAGCGACCCATGGTTTAGAGACAAGAAGTTCTTTGTCATTCCCCTGTTGTTTCTCTCTACAGCCGGCCGAACTTCACCAAGTGGTTCATCGTGCCCAGCACCTGGCTGAGGCCTTGGGAAGGTTTACAAAATGCTGGAAAATCACATATGTAAGCTGGAGGGTTAGGGTTAGCAGTCATCTACTCCAGGCCGTCCATACATAGATATGAATCCTGCTTCCAGGCTGCCGAGATGACCTGTCCCAGCTTACACAGGCTCCGAGTGACGCAGCCAAGGAAGGTACTTTCTCATCCTCCCCAAATATCTCTGATTCAGATTGTGAGACCAGGTGAAAAGCTTATTAGAAGTATATCTAAACTAAGAATAAATAAGACGTGATAAATGCCTGAGAAACTCTGTTATGAGTCAAGAATGAATTTGGGGGTAGCTAATGTAGATATATCACACTCAGTCAACTGAATTCTTTTAGGATCATTTCTTTTCACTAAGCAAGTGATCCTGCAAGGTGCTGATCATGCCCACCTGATGATCCTGAGGTCTCTGTTTACTGATGTTGCCTCTCAGTGGAATTTGTTTCTCTTTCCAGGAGTTATTGGGTGGTGTGTAGAATGCAGGAAATAATAAATATTTTACACCTCTCTAGAGGATGGACGAAGATGAGCTGCCACCCACAAGAGAGCAGTAAGGAGAGTCAACAGCAGCTGATCCTCTTTCCCACAGCAAAGAGAGGGAAGGGGTGAGCGGCATCTCACAAACACCGGGTCTCCTCTAACTTGTCTGTCTTCTCTCATTACCAGCCCGCCATGGCATGACAGAGACTTGGGGGCTGCATTAACATTCTCCAACAGAGATCTTCATCGAGAGGCACTGAGCACGCAGACACAGAGAGGGAAAATCATCCCACAAAGATCATCATTGGGCTAAACGAAACTACCAGCCAACAGCAAAGCAGAATCACTGGGTGAATAAGTAACAAACTGATACTAATCAAATGTGAAAAACTTATGCCTGAGGGCTAAGCGGGACCTAGGTGAATGCCTGAGCTCTCAGATATGAGAACAGGGGGCTACAAATGGGAAACATGTAACTCACGGAGCCTGCGGATGACAAGCTGGTAAACTCATTAAACCTGGGTCTTCACAGAGCAGTGTGGGAAGGTCCAGGCACTCACAGCTGTAAAGAAATCACACACCGAGGACTGTTGTGGGGTGGGGGGAGGTGGGAGGGATAGCATTAGGAGATATACCTAATGCTAAATGACGAGTTAATGGGTGCAGCACACCAACATGGCACATGTATACATATGTAACAAACCTGCACGTTGTACACATGTACCCTAAAACTTAAAGTATAATAATAATAATAATAATAATAAAAAGAAAAAAAGAATTCCAGTTTCCCCATTCCAACTTTCAACTGAAAAAACTGAGTGCAATGTTGGCTTTTAGTGATTACCAATTATTTTCTAAACACTAAAAAGCCTTCAACTTGGCAGTTCAGATTGTATTTCCTGTGAAGTTTCTTTTATTCCTGTTTTCACTATTGTGGCTGCCATACTATTTCATGTGTGTATGAATGAGAGTATGGGCCCGTAAGTGAGCACATTTTTGTACTTGCCCTCAGGAGTTTATAATAACATATGAAACATAAAATACCTCAATATCCTTGAAGTGTTTACCATTTCCTGATGAATGACTTGTTTATTGGAAGCCCCTCTCTCATATAAATTACCAGAACAATGGCCCAGTTGGAACTCATGAGAAATGATGAACATTCTTCCCATGCTAAATCATCAGAAATTCCTTTAGATTTATCGTGTACTAAAAATTCTCAAGGTCATCCAACTTCAATACAGAATTTTAAATGGCATGGGAGGGAAGAGAATCTCCCAGAAATATCATTACTGGTTTTGAAAGACATTCTGTATTTCCATCATGCTTCATATTTAAAAGAAAATAGGAGACATGCAGAGAGAAGGCAGGGTTAGAACATGAGGCACTTGGGAAGGGGGAGAAAGAGAAATGATTAGTGTGAGGAAAACACAACAAGGGAATCTCCAAGAAGCAATGTCCAAGAGAACAAAGAACGCACTGCCCTCCACCAGAGACAAAATGAGAGCCTCTCTTACAGCCTTGCTAAAGAGGGTAAGACTCAGGTGAAGCACAGCACAGAGGAACACAGGCTAAAGGGGCAAAAGCACAATGTTTAAAAGAGACTTGGGGAAGCAAACAATCAGTCCTCAGAGATTATAATTTGAAAACAATTGTTTGAAGACTGACAGAAGCAAAACATAAATTGACTGAGAAAAGATAAAGAATCCTCACGGGCTATGAATAAAAGGAAAGTCACAGGGGTTACGAATTCTGAAACTATTTTGTTCTGTGTTCTGGGGTTGAACAAATAAATACAGGTAATAAGAACCACATCTCTCATTGTTGGAGGAATACTTTACAAATTCTTCAAGAAAAGGGAGAGACTGGGAAGAACTCTGTGGTGCTGGATTTGGAGTTGGAGCAATATAAATTTATGGTTTTATTTTAATGTATGTGCTGAAAACTAAAGGAATAAATGCAGATGTGTATATGCATGTGTTATATAAGTAAATATATTCCTAGCTCTACGCATTGAGGGCACCTAGAAGTAGCAGGAAGACCCTGGTATCAATGGGCACAATTATCACACACAACTTGGTTTCTAAATACCATTCTATAGTAATAATGGTAATAATAATAATGGAGTCAGGGCTCCTTAGTGAAGCGACTGATTCAAAGACTGGAATAAAGAAAATATAAGATGATCCTGGACCATTCCATGGAGCTAGAAAATAAGAAAACGCTGAACAAAGTAGCACACATATTGAAAGATGGGACCCAACCTCCCAATGGCCAGAGTTAGAACAACTTGAGGAAATAATTATATGAGATAAATAACAATGGTGATGGATTATAACTCAAATACAATAAATATCCATGAGTCCATACTGATAGAAATAACCAAATAAGTAAGTCAAAGGAAGAAGTGGTAACTCTTCCTTACAGAAGAATTCCAATGAAAAAATGAAGAAGGAAAGAGAAAAATCCAAAATTACCATTAGAACCACAGAGTAACATCAGTGCAGTCAAGATTCACTGATACAAGTGTTAAAATTAGTGGGCAAAAGTTTAAGCAGAGATAGGATATTGTATTAGTTCTCACGCTGCTATGAAGAAATACCTGAGACTGGGTAATTTATAAAGAAAAGAGGTTTAATGACTCACAGATCTGCATGGCTGGGGAGGCCTCAGGAAACTTGCAATCATGGCAGAAAGCACCTCTTCACAGGGTGGGAGGAGAGAGAATTAGTGCAAGCAGGGGAAATGCCAGATGCTTGTAAAACCATCAGGTCTCATGAGACTCTCATTATCACAAGAACGGCATGGGGGAAACTGCCTCCACGATTCAATTACCTCCAGCTGGTCCCACCCTTGACACTAGGAATTATGGGGATTACAATTCAAGGTGAGATTTGGGTGGGGACACAGAGCTAAACCATATCAGATATCTTCATAGTCTCAAAGTATCTTTCCCAAAAATCCACAGTAGAGATGCCTCTTGGTCACATGATCAAGGCCACCATCACCAAAACACACAAATTGAAAAACTGTACCATTTGATAAGATGCCCTGAGACGGACATGTCATCTCTGCTTTCTAGTAACACAGAGTCTTGATCTGATCACTAGAAACCTCAGACAAACTCAACTAAAGTGTTGTTCTATAAAATGCCTCACCAATATTCTTCAAACGTGTCAAGGTCATGAAAGTCAAGGAAAGACTGAGGAACTGTCACAAATTGCAGGAGACTGAAGAGACAAGGTGACAAAATGTAACATGGAATCTTGGAACAGAAAAAGGACATTAGTGGAAAAAAAAACTGGTGAAACCAAAATAAGTTCTGTACTTTACTGAATAGCATTACATAAAGGTTAATGTCTCAGTTTTGAATGACTATTCTATGATCATATAAGATATTGATTGAAGAGAGATAGGATGAAGAATACATGGAAACTCTACTATTTTTGAAGCTCTCCTTTAAGTCAAAAATTATTTCAAAAGATTAAGAGAAAGTCCCACTGATAACAATAATAAAAAATGGTAGTGATTAGTAAATGAATGGCATCATGCAGCAGACACTAATTTCATTTAATGTTACCTAATAGAATTCATTTGTTCCTTTTTAAGAAAAGTGTTTATAAAGGAAAGTGAGAAAAAACACTGTTTATTGATTCATTATGCTTCTTATACTTCACTGATCTTCAATGGACATGGGCCAGCCCTCTCGACTTTCCCCATACACAGCTCTACCGCCCATTGCTCATCCATGCCCCTGGTTTCAAATAGGGAGAATCAGAACTCAGGCCAAATCCCTTCCTTATTAATTATTTCCAAAAGAGAGAGAATCAGAACATGATCTAGTCTGCGGGGACTTTCCTGATTCCTAATTATGACAGCAGCTGAGTTGAGGCTGCCTTCCAAGGAGAACCCACTAATTCAGTCTGTGGTGGGCCCAGATAGCAGAAGGTGAGGGATCTGATCTAGCTGGATCCTAAAATGATGGAAGAAAGAGGAAGATGTTTCCCCTTGAGCCCAGGAGACCAGCAAGGAGGCAGCTGCTCCAGGTCATTGGCTGGTCTCCTGTCCTTGGCTCTCGGACAGGCAATGGCATTAAGTTTCTCACTCTAAGAACACTAGACCCTTGACATCAAGGCCTTCTGAAGAGATAAACAAGTGAAGTGATAAGTTCCATTCTCCTTGTTGTGCCCTTTTGTTCTCTCCTGAAAAGTCACAGAAGACCTTAAGAAGCAGCTGATAAAGGAGCAAAGAGGTTTCTCATCGTGTGAATGCCTGGGCATCCTCAAATGTGAATATTGCTTCTGACACTATTACATGTTCCATACTTCAAAGCATTCACATCTGTCTTCAGATTGCAGCCCACTTACAGGTGAGGAAATGGGCAGTTCATGCACATAACATACCATTTATCATCTGCCGCATGCCAGGTCGTGTGCTAGGGGCTGACTAATGCATGTGGTGAACAGAGTAGACACTCTCTCTGGCCTCATTGATCCTAGTGGGTGCAGCAGAAGCTGATGACATACCTCTGCATGTGGTTTTTACGATTCACTTTTGTAGCCTTACAAACTTACAAACTCCCATTTCCCCTCAAAGCGTGATAACAGTTGGGCCTGGCCTAGACTTGGGGTTCGGGAAGGCCTGTCAGGGGAGACGATGCTGCACAGAAGCAGGAAGAGTCCCAGAAGAGGGAAAGTGGGAAGGGCTAACAAAACCCAGGATGCTGGAACATAAAAAATGGGTGAGTCACACAAGAGGAACCCCAAAATAGCCCAAGCTGGATGATGCAGAGCTTCAAAAGTCACAGTAAGGATTTGGAGTTTAGTGCTCGTGTCCTGGGAAGCTAGAGAAGGGCTTTTCAGGGACGAGATATGAGCTGAGAGAGATGTTAAGTGGTGCCAGAGAAGAGTGGTGTGACAAAGATGTGACACCCTGACATCATTCTTACCGAGGGTTCTTACCACAAAGCAGGGCAGGGAGGTGCTGGGGTGAGACCCCAGTCTCCTGGCATTTAGTTCCATGCTCTTTGACTTTTACTTCTCTGCCCATGAGTTAAAGTGCTCACAAAAATCCAGGCAAAACTTTTCATTTAAACATGTTGGATTGCCATGCATTTGTTTTTCCCTGCCCCAGAAATGTCTGTGCAGAAATAAAAATACAACAAATTCACAGAGGAAAAAAATAGAAGATAAAACTTTTTTTAAAAGAGGAAATAAATAATAAAATAAAAATGTTGATAATGAAAAATGGATGAGAGAAGATAACTCGGTTGACAGAATGGAGGAGGAGGAAACACATGTGTCCACAAAAAGAAAAACAAAGTGGGAGGCGAAAGAAAAGCAAGCTGATGTCCCACAACAGGCTCCTGGAAATGCTCAAAATTGAGGGTAGATGTCTCCTTTTAAAAACAGCAGGACCACCTAAAAGTCTGTATAAAGAAAATTTCCATCCCAAGTTGCCCTTTCTCCACTAAATGGCAGGTGGAAGGTTCCTTCTCAGGAGAAATTGAACCAGAGAGTCTCTTGGAGTGGCAGACGACATAGATGGGAGGAGGAGGTGCCCTCTGAAGCCTTCAGTCAGCAGGTGAGTCCCAGCCGTGTTCCCCAGTGATACCAGAGTTAAGAAGAAATTACTTAGGCAGATAGTGAGGGTACGGAAGTCCACAGAAGGAAAAATCGAGCTGCAGACATAGATGCTGGCAGTTGTGCGAATCATGTTCAAAATGGCGGCCGCATCTTCCCTTCTCTCTATCAGCTACATGTACAGTAAGGAGCAGACAAGATGGCGCAGGTCACTGGGAGAGTTAATTTGCATAATAAGATTAGGGTGGGGCTGCCAGCCTTCCCCAATGTAAACGTCATAGCTGATTGAACCAATCTGTGAGCCCTGTATAAATCAGACACCACCTCCTCAAACCTGACTATAAAATCTGGGGCATCCACCACCCTTAGGTCCTTTCTGCTGGGAGACCCCTCTCTCTGTAGAAAGAGCTGTTTCTCTTTCTCTTCTCTTCTGCCTATTAACCCTCCACTCCTAAACTCCCCGTGTGTGTCCCTGTCCTAAATTTTTCTGCCACACGATGACAAACCCCAGGGTATATACCCCAGACAATGTAGCAGCTTCTCCAGCAGACGGATCAGTACAGAATAACCTGAGAAATGGCAGGTATATTGGACTTCGGGGAGTAAATTATTCTGAAGGAGATAGCCTGAAAACACTCTATCATTTAAATGTTTTCCAGTGAAAGGTACTTGTGATCAGCAGAATGATGGCCCCCAAAGATATCCAGGTTTGAATCCCCAGGACCTGTGAATACATCACCTCTCAAAGCAAACGGGACTTTGCAGCTGTAATTAAATTAAACATCTCGAGATAGGAAGACGATCCTGGATTAGCCGGAGAATAGGGCCTGGAGGCAGGGAAACTAAGGACTTCTGAGACCTAAATCAAATGGAAACACTTCAGCAATGACAGGAAAGCCTTTCATTTACATACACCCAGTATATGACTTTGTAACTTTACTTCATCCTCTTCATTATATACAGCATACACCAAGTAACCAATGGAAACCTCCAGAGGGTATTTAAATCCCAGAAAATTCTGTAACTGGTCCCTTGAACCACTTGCTTGGGTCTGCTCCCACCCCGTGGAGTATGCTTTCATTTTCAATCAATCTCTGCTTTTGTTGCTTCATCCTTTCCTTGCTTTGTTGGTGCGTTTTGTCTAATTCTTTGTTTAAAGCACCTAAAGCCTGGTCCCCCTCCACCGGTAATGGGCCCTATCAAATTACCTGCGTCCTTACAAGAGAAGAATCTGTCCCAGTTGTGTTAAGAGGAAAACATGATGCTGCAGAAGGGCCAGGAGGAAGCAATGTGGTTGACTTGGAAGATGAAAGTAGGGGCCGTGTGGAAGGAATGTGCGCCGCATCTAGAAGTTGGAAAAGGCAAGGAAACAGCTTCTCCCTAGAGCCCCAGAAGGAGCCTTCCCTGCAGATGCTTTAACTTTAACCCCGTGAGACCCACTTGGGACTGATACGGCTCTGACGAGTGGAGGAACACCAGGGCTCTTATCTCATGCTGAATTAGATAAGATAACACAGACACATGTGGAGTGGTTTTAAGGAGCGGAGAGTTTAATAAGCAAGAAAGAAGGGAGAAGAAAGAAGGAAGAAGCTCCCCTGTACAGAGACAGAGGGAAGGGTGTTGTACCCAAGCGAGTTAGAAAAACGCCACACACTTTGAGACGAATTAAGAGTCTTTTATTAGCCGGTGACTGAGACATGGCTAACGCTCAAAATTCTCTCAGCCCCGAGGAAGGGGCTTGATTAACTTTTATACCTTGGTTTAGGAGGGGGTGGGGGTCTAGTTAAAACAATTTTACAGAAGTAAAGTAGTCAAAAAGTTAAAAGGATAAATGGTTACAGGAAAGTAAACAGTTCCAGGTGCAGGGGCTTTAAGACTATTACAAGGTGATAGACCCGGGGCTTTGGGCGTTATCAATCAGACGAATTCCTGGGAACTGCGGATATAGCTTGCCACAGTATCTTATCAGTTAATTGCATTCTTGGATGTGCTGGGAGTCAGCTTGCACAAGTTAAGTCCTTGAGGAAGGGGCTGCCAGTGAAAGAGCCAAGATGGAGTCTGTCGGGCTCTCCTAGCTAAGGGAGAGTCAATTCAGGTGGAACCATGGCTAGGTGATTAAAGGAAAAGGGAGAGTCTAAAAACAGAGTTAGTAAAAACCAGGTTGGGCATTACAGGGGGCGCTCCAAAGTGGAAAGAGGAGACCCCATGTGCCACACCATGGAAAAGTGGCTGCTTATATGAGTAGGCTGAAGGAGGTGGTGTCTGATTTGCATAGTGCTCAGGGGATTGGTTTGCCCAGGTATGTAATTCATGTAGCCTGCAAAAAAACTGGCCTACCCTAGTCTTTTAATATGCAAATACAGGGCACGATGATGTTCTATACATATAGGGATATGTGGGGGCGGCCCTGTTGCCAGGCACATGTTGGGGCAAGTGCAAGAAGACTACGACAATGACAATGGTGGACAGAGTTTCTAATGGCTTACATTTGCATATTAAAGGTGGCCAGCCTGGGTTGACCCAGTTTCTAATGGCTTGCATTTGAATATCAAAGGTTGCCAGCCAGGGTCTAAGAGCCAGGGCTTTTCTGCTAGACAAGAAGCAGCGTTTCTGGAGCTGCTTTAAAAGAGACAAAAACTTTCCAAGGACCCCGTTTCCTCTCTATCTGCCTAAAATAATTGTTTTCTTTTTTTCTTTTTTTTTTTTTTTTGAGACGGAGTCTCGTTCTGTGGCCCAGGCTGGAGTGCAGTGGCGCAATCTCGGCTCACTGCAAGCTCCGCCTCCTGGGTTCACACCATTCTCCTGCCTCAGCCTCCCAAGTAGCTGGGACTACAGGCGCCCACCACCACACCCGGCTAATTTTTTTGTATTTTTAGTAGAGACGAGGTTTCACCGTGTTAGCCAGGATGGTCTCGATCTCCTGACCTCGTGATCTGCCCACCTTGGCCTCCCAAAGTGCTGGGATTACAGGCGTGAGCCACCACACCCAGCCAATAATTTCTTAATTAACTCCTACCACAGGACTTTTGCACTCCAGAACTGTAAGATGATGAATTTGTATGGTTTCAAGCCATTCAGTAGGTGATAACTTGCTACAGTGATAATAGAAAATGAATTCAGCATCTTTCCCAAAAAGTGACTAAGAAGCAGCAGCAAAGAGTGTGGACGTCCCTGTTGACCGTGTAAACTATAAGGTCTCAACCAATTTAGGAAATTTATTTTGCCAAAGTTAAGAACATGCCTATGACGGCCTCAGGAAGTCCTGATGACATGTACCCAAGGTGACTGGGGTACAGCTTGCTTTTATACATTTTAGCGAGACATGAGATTTCGATCAATACATGTAAGACTTACATTGGTTCGATCTGGAAGGGTGGGACAACTTGAAGCAGAGGTGGGGGTGGGAGATGGAGGGGGGCTTCCAGGTCCCAGGTAGATTTAAACATATTCTGATTGGCAATTGGTTGAAAGAGTTATTATCTATAGGAAAGAATGTTTGGGTTATGATAAGGGGTTGTGGAGACCTGGGTTTTATTATGCAGATGAAGCCTCCAAGTAGGGGCTTTAGGGAGAATAGATAGTAAATGTTTCTTATCAGACTTAAGGTCTGTGTTGATGCTAAGGCTGTAGGGGAATAGTGAGGCATGTCCAATCCCCACTTCCCATCATGGCCTGAACCAGTCTTTCAGGTTAAATTTTAGGGTGTCTTGGATGAGGAGGGAGTCCATTCAGATGGTTGGGGGCCCCTCAAATTTTATTTTTGCTCTGAGCAGCAACCCTCTGAGCTCTGCTCTTCAGCAAAGGTGCTTCTTCCTGATGCATCTGCTCTCTGCCCCTTAGGATTAAAACAAAACAAAACAAAAAACAAAAAACAGCACAGGCTTTTCCATTCTATCCAGAAGGCACGGTTGTTCTGCTCACCACCCAATAGGAATAAAAGGTCCTCTGTGATTCATGAAAGGGATAGTTTTGTGGCCTAGACCAGAGAAAGAAAGAAAATTAAACTTGCTCCCCTCAGGGTGAGGGCCTCTACCTCTTCCTCTGGCTCAATTTCTTTCCTTCCAGTTGGTATCCCCTGCTCTATTTACAGTTATCCAAGGGGCTAGACACAATGCCCTGGCAGAAATCATGCCACCCTGGCCCTGACTTTTCAGCCTGTAAACCTGACCTGTGTTGCTTCCCTTTCCTCTTCTGACTTTAAAGAGTCATGTCACCCTCTAGCACATAAGACTACCATCTTGTAGGACAATCATTCAACAGATTTGCATTAATTATCTATTGCTGCATAACAAATTACCCCAAAACTTAGATTTAAAGCAGTAAACATGTATTTTCTTGCAGTTTCTGGAGGTTAAAAATCCAGGAGCAGTTTATAGGAAAGTTGTAGCATGAACGCCGTCATGAGGCAGAGGCTGCAGTTGTCTGAAGGCTGGACCGAGGCGGGAGAGTCCACTTCTAAGAGGCTCATTCATGTGCCTGGCAGGATAGCTCTAGTTATGGGCAGGAGGCTTTGGTTTCTTGCTGTGTAGACCTCTCTATAGTACTTCTTAAGGGTCATCACAACTTTGCAGCTGGATTCCGCCATACTAATGAACTAAGAGGTAACCAAGCAGCAGCCATTATGCCTTTTGTGGCCTGACCTTGGAAATCACACAATGTCTTACTGGTTACACAGTCATCCCTCTTCCACGTGGGAAGGACTAGACGAGGCAATGGCTACCAGGGCATGAGCATGGTTGGAGATTATTTTGGAGCCTCATTACTTTTTCTACAATTTTAGGAAAAGAAAATAATAATGAAGCCAGGATTCAGTGGTTTATAAGATGCTCACGACTCTGCATATCATGTTGACTTGTTGCAAGGACTTCATTATCCATGACCCACAATGAGCCAGTCACGTCAGCTTAGCTCTTCCCTTCTACCAGCAGTGTCATGACAATTTCCCCCCACCCAACCCTTCTCTTTGTGTGTGGATTACAGATTAGAATCCATTGATTAGAGCCATTCTTGATTAATTAACAGGTGAGGAGAGGAGGCATTGAAAGTCAGTGTTAGTGAAGAATGTCAATCATTGCTGAGAAAACTTCTCTAAGCCCCATGTTTCTTCTACTACTCAGAGGGATGGCACTGCCCCTTCAGACTTTCTGAGACATCAGAAGAGTTCTATGTGATTCACATAGAGCAGAGTTCGGCGTTGCAGACAAATCAAAGGCCTACCACAAATTTGACTTAATGAATCACTTTGACTTTGTTACTGAGTTTACTCATCTATTGAACAAGAGGAGAACAGGTCAGTGGTTCTTGAATTTGACTGATTATCTCATTCTTCTGTGCTAAAGTCAGATTGCCAAGCCATACCTTTGAACACTATGGGTCAGTTGGTATATGGTATATTTCCCAGAACCCACGTCTGATATAAGTTACTTCAGATGATCTGATGGTTTAGGCACTAGCTCAGACTTTCTTGAGATGGCAGATCCTCTTACTATGGGGAAAGAGGTACTGTGAGATGTTTTTCCCCTTAAATGAATTTCTGTATCATTTGACATGGACTAAATCAGGAGTCCCCAACCCCTAGGCCACAGACCAGTTCATGGCCTGTTGGCAACCAAGCCACACAACAGGAGGTGAACTGCTCATATGAGGGATCTAGGCTGCATGCTCCCTATGAGAATCTAACTAATACCTGACGATCTGAGGTGGAAGAGTTTCATCCCAAAACCATCCCCTCTACCCCGCTGCCCTATCTATGGAAAAATTGTCTTCCACAAAATTGGCCTCTGGTGCCAAAAATGTTGGGGACCACTGGACTAAATAATCAGAAGATTGTGTTCCAGCTATAAATTTCTAAAATCTTATGCTTCTAGACAGAAAGAAAAGTTGTGTACGGTTTGCAAAATCTTATTACAGTAGATTTGGCATAGAATTGATTTATCCATAAGTTTGTAATGATTATCACTTTCCTCTGGAACAGTCATTCTAGAGCTCTAGTGTCGAGAAAAACCACCTAGGACACATGTTACAATGTGGATTCTTGGGCTCCACCTCCAGATGTTATATAATTCAATAGCTGGAGAACATGTTGGATTGAAAGCTACGCGATACCAACACTGCACTTCCCAAAGTGTCTGCTGAGAAGGACAACACTCCCTCAAAAAACAAATTCACCTAAATTATACATTTAAAGTCATGTTAACTCCTGGTCACACCTGGGAGCACATGACCTGTTTTCAGATTTCTGAATATGAGCCTAGAATTATCCTCCTAGACTAGGGTTTCCAAAACTTCCCTGATGATAAGAACAGGCTGGTGGTGCTCGTTAAATGCAATGCATAGAAACCAGATCTCTTCCCTGATTCAAATTTGGAATACCTAGGTTGTTTTGTAAACAAGTATTCCAGGCAGGTTTGGGAAATTCTGTTCTTAGAAGCTGTAGGTTGAGAAAATCTAGAGATAGTATATCCTCATCTTGTCCTTGTGTGGATGAGGCGAAGGAGGCCACCCACCTGGTCAAGCGTCACAGCTGGCTAATCTCCACTTGAACTGCATATTGTCTTAAAGGTTTTTTAATACTGGTCTTAAGAAGTGGTGTAAGCTTGTGTCAAGTTTACTTGGTCTCACCAGAGAGGAATTAAAGTAATAAGACAATGAGAGTCAGGAAGGAAAAACTAATTAGCAAATTCATTTTATGCCCTGTCAAAATAAAAAAGGGAAAAAGGAAAGACAATAAAGACTCTTAAAAATTGTTTTTTAACCCCATGAACCAGAGAACTCCTGGAGTCCAGGAACTGACAGCTGCAGTAGGAATTAGAAGACAAATAAGCTATTCCAATTATAAATGGGAAACATGCTTTTTAACCACTGGCTACTTTCTCTATATTATTGTAAGGATTACCAATTCCAGTAATAATCACAGGAATACCTAATTTGGAGGAGATCCCTAATGATTATAAATTATAATTTCTTATGACAGTAGAAACAGGCACTCTTTAGATAGTTCCGTGGAGACCATATTACAGAACAAGAAGATATTGAAAAATGTTTATGAAGACCAATAAGGAAATTCGCTTTCTTGATTCCAGACTGCTGGAGGGGCTTCCTGTTGAGAGGGTGCTAAAATGAGAGCCCCTACCCACTCTGGGTGGCTAAGAAGCTCCTGGGCTCTACCTTGCTACTGACATCAGGCAGTCAAAACAGAGTCCTAGGAGTGTAGAAAACAGTCCAGGCTCAGAAGGAGGGGGTACAGGCTTGAATTTTACAAACAGAAGAGTAATGCCTTTAGTGACTCCTTGATCTATGCTGAAGGCCCTAACGAGCTGGGGCCTGCTGAGGGTTCTCCACTCAGAATGGAGCATTAGACCCACAGAAGGGAGGACTCTACACCTCCAGCCCTTTCCACCTCCTCTCCATTTTCTCACTTGCTCTTCCCCAGGAAAGAAAGAGTGAATGTCATTGGCTAGGTCTTGACAGTTATTGGTCCATACTTTAAAAATAGGTGCTGTCTCTGCATTCTAAGTCGGTGCTGAAGCACAGAGCACTCTGCTACAGGTATACTCTTTCTGTTTCCGTTGTCTGACTTCAGGTGGGTGGGGATCCCTCACTTAGTCTCTCTGTAGGGTAAGGAAATGAGGAATGCCCTGCTTTGACAACCTTTCAACTCTGTTTTCCTCCTTTCTTCCTATCTTCAAATGTACTAGAGAGTTTGAATTTTTTTCCATCTACCCAACTCAGAAAATGGACTTCAATTCATTAACCTGGGTTCTCTCTTACCAATTATTATAAGCTATCCTAGTCTGTTTTGTACTGTTATAAAGGAATACCTGGGCCTAGGTAGTTTCTAAAGAGAAAAGGTTTATTTGCCAGGATTCTGATAGATGAAAAGTTTGAGACTGGACATCAGTGTCTGGTGAGGGCCTCAGGCTGCTTCCACTCATGGCAGATCCTGTGTGTAGAGATCACACCACCAGAAAGCAAGCAAGATGGGGAGATGCCAGGCTCTTTTTAACAATCATCTCTCTATGGAACTAAAAATGTAGGAACTCACTTGCCCCCAAGGGAGGGCATTCATCTATTCATGGGGGATCCACATACATGACCCAATACCTCCCATTAGGCCACACCCCCACATTAGGGTCAAATTTCAAAATGAAGTTCAGAGGGAGAAAACATCCAAACCATAGCCCAAGCCTATATTTGAAGGACTGCAGGGTTCTTCTTAGTGGTTCTGTCACCATGACTAATACAATTTAGGTATATTCTCCAATGCTCAGAACCCTGAAGAGCAGAAAAATAGAGTACTACCTTGAGTCTTTAAGAAGTTGCATCCAAAGGTTGTGGGTGATTTTGAGTTCTGTGGACAAATTCCCTTGTTTTTTGTTTGTATGTTTGTTTGTTTGTTTTTTGTTTTATTGAGACAGAGTTTCGCTCTTGCTGCCCAGGCTGGAGTGCAATGACACGATCTCGGTTCACCGCAACCTCCATCTCCCAGGTTCAAGCAATTCTCCTGCCTCAGCCTCTGAAGTAGTTCGGATTACAGGCATGTGCCACCACGCCCAGCTAATTTTGTATTTTTAGTAGAGGTGGGGTTTCTCCATGTTGGTCAGGCTGGTCTCAAACTCCTGACCTCAGGTGATCTTCCCACCTCAGCCTCCCAAAGTGCTGGGATTACAGGCGTGAGCCACCGTGCCTGGCCTAATTCCCTTGGTTAAGCTTGACATTACTCCCTACTGGTTGTGTGACCTTGAACACATGATTTACCTTACTTGCCTTCAATTTCCTCATCTGTAAATTAGAGAAAATAATAGTAGGTAACTCAAAACACTTTTGTGAAGATTAAAATGAGTTAATACATATAAAGCATGATGTGTAAAATGTCTAGCACAAAGCAAAGAATAAGTATCAGTCTTTACTACTGTTCTATTATTATTATTATTATATCATGGAAAGAATTCATCACATTAAGAATCAATGTTCAGGTTGATGGTGTATGTCTCTGAGGACTTTGAAGGCATGACATAGACAAGTTAAATGTGTTCGGCATTAAGCTCGATGTTAATCAACAACCACAAAAGCTGATCTGTTCTTACATGTTGCCCATAGAAGTACATCATCCAGATTGAAGAGTTCATCATCCTGGACTCCTCTCATTAGGCTGAAGTGTGTCTGTGGCAATGCCCTCTCTGTGAGGGCACAAAATTAATGAGCGTTAGCAAATGAGAGCACAAACAAAGGACAGTAACCACGATGCTAAACATGGGAAAACAACACAAAGAGGGCTTAGAAATTCTGGAAAATTTTAACCTAGAGAAAAGAGCAGAGCAATGGCAGATGGTGCAAAGTCACAGTAGGATGGCCTTGGGAAAAGATCATTCACCTGTGCTGTCGTGCGGACGTCTACTTGTGTCTCTGGCCCTGGCATGCTGTGTGACCGAGCGTGCTTTGCTGCGCCCAGCTGATCTGCATTTTTCTCATCACATAAGGAGGCTTCACTTCTTCCAGTTTTAATATTGCAGGATGTTGAAGATAGGCTATCTTTGGATCCCACATCCTACCATTTACCTACCTCATTCTCTTCTCCCCTTTAGATCTCTGACTGCTGAAGTATAAATACAAACAACGGAGTCAAATTGGAAATAGGATAACAGCTGTTTTGATGGCAAAGTAGTGTGGAGAACAAAGCTTGGGACTGAGATTGAAACAAAAAGAAGTGACAACTTCTTTGCTCCTTGAATTGAAGCCAGGGTCGCAGAACAGAGCTGGCCTACCTGCAGGCTGACCATTTGACCTGGGAGATCCCAAGCCCCAAGGGAGGGGCCAAGAAGTTGAAACGAAGGCACTCACAATCTCCCTTTCTTAACAGACTGTGTCTCATAAGAGGGAAAACAGTCTTCTTCCATTCCTTGAAACTTTATGCTCTCATTTTTCTGAGTGCTTTTGCTGGGAACGTTTGATGTCATGGTATTTCAACTTTTATTTCTGAAGTTAAGCACTGTACTTACCAAAGACGCCATCGTTGCTTTGTTAACTTCTTGATTATTTCTTGTACACAGTGGCATCAATATTGCTCAGACCCAGTGCATTCATTACACAAATTTTACTCATGGGTGCAGTGAAGTGTGAAGGATAGTTGGAAGGAAATGATAACCAACCAGGCTTTTTCTCTGGAACAGGAAGAATAACCAAATGCATTATTAAAATTTAAGTAGATACCTTTTTCTCTTCCACTTTCTTTATAGAAGCACTTCCTAATAGTTAAAATTCTTCAGCCCAAGACAATGTATTATGGTGCAGTGAAAGAAATAAAAGTCCTGAAATGAGAACCGAAGAATTATTGGTTGTCTACTTACACTAGGTATTTTAATACAAGCTCTCCATTAAACCTCCCAATAATCTCATAATGTAAATAGTATTTGCCACCTTTACAAACAAGAGAACTGCAGTTTTCTTATGGCCAGTAAATCAAAGAGCGGCATTTGAACTGGGGTTTCTCCAAAACCCATATCCTGTTTCACCACTGTTTCCCTGATTGCATCAGTACATATTTCACCACTCTCAGCACAGACATGAAAGAAAAGTTGCAACTCAGGAAAAGAGTCTCTATGCCGCACCAGAATATCTCAAAACACATGTGAAAAACCCTGCTTAGAAAGCACATCTGAAATATAACGTAACACTGCACGCTCCTCATTGGCAGAGCCCAAAAGGTAGCTGATTTGCATTTCCCTCCCCAGCACTTCAGGTTGTGCCCCAGCACCTTGCCAGTCCTCCAGAAAGAGTTTGAAAGGTAATTTTTCAGACTGCTTCAGTCCTAGCAAATGTCAGTGTGAGCTGCTGTTCTGCTCACCATAGTTTCCTGAGACTAGCCAAAACAAATCGACTTGCTGGAGGGAAAATGCAGTCTGGAGATCCTTGTGTTGAACTACAAATGAGTTATCTCTATCATATTATGGGGCACAACTATACGATACATTCAGAAAACCTACATAGCTGGTCTACTATAAATAAAAGTAATCATGACATGACAAACAGGCCAATTCCTAAGTCTTTATGGTGTGCTCACCATTTCTTCAGGTTGTTTTACCATCAACATGACAGTTATGGGAGAATCGCGTAGCTCAGCCACTGCACTGGAGATGATCATTCACTTGGGTATGCAGAGGGGATTTGTGCCCATTTGGAAACAAGCCAGTGTGAACAGCTTGGAGTGTGTCCACGCCATGCATGGTGAACTCTTCTTATGAAGTCCTGTGTCTGTCCATGATCCAAACATGTGTTTAAGAGGGCTTTGCTATCTTCCTCACTCCACATCTGTGTATGCTCCCACTTTACAGTGTAATAAACGGCAAGAAATTCTGGGCCTGAGAGAGAATTACAGAGACAGTACCAGCGACTTCCTTCCAAATTCTACAGACTTAATCTTTCCTGCCATTTCCATTGCTCATGAAGATTTAGGGTCATTTCCCAAGAGAGTGATTTTCATCCCTACTCCTCTCTGCCTCCATTATTAAGTGGCATGCCCTTTTCCCTTCATAATCAGAAACAATCACCCAACCAACCAACTCTTTAACTCCCTGTTTCTTGTTTGCTCAGAAATATGAGGATTCCCAAATCCCCAAATATCAATCTCAGCCTCCAAATTAAAGAAATTATTCTTTTGTCTTTTGTTAAAACGTTTCTCCCTTAGGTTCTAAAACCTCTAATTCAGCTAAGTCCATAGTTAGTGGAAAAGGAAATAAAGACTAGTTGCATGTGGGTCTTTAGATATAACTGTCAGGACCCATCCTTAACATTCGCTATTTTGTTCCTAGACCAATGTATTCTGGCTATGATAGAAAAATAACTATGGATTATTCACCATTTCACTGTATCCGACTTTACGTGACTTGCTGTTTTTTTTTTTTTTTTTTTGAGACAGTTTCACTCTTTTTGCCCAGGCTGGAGTGCAATGGTGCTATCTCAGCTCATTGCAACCTCTGCTTCCTGGGTTGAAGTGATTCTCCTGCCTCAGCCTACCGAGTAGCTAGGATTGCAGGCACACACCACCATGACCTGCTAATTTTGTATTTTTAGTAGAGACAGGGTTTCACCATCTTAGCCAGGCCGGGGTCCAACTCTTGATCTCAGGTGATCTGCTGGCCTCAGCCTCCCGAAGTGCTGGGATTACAGGCATAAGCCACTGCGCCTGGCCTTATGTGACATTCTAAATATTTAAGAGTCATTCTATTCTGTAAGGTTAACAGTTTCTGGAGGCTAAGCTGTTGGATAAGATCGGGGAATCCCATGAGCATCTGCTCATTGCCTCACATTTTTTTGCCACAAATAAAATTTATTGACAAAAACCAAAACAGTCTGAAAATTTCTTGACAAAAACCAAAACAGTCTGGGACCTGACATCAGGTCCACGAATGATGGTGAAGGCATAAGAGGACACAGTCTTCCCCCGACCCAGTTCTTTGGAGATTTACAATGGCACAGCAGCCCATGGCTGTTATCAGCGTGTTGTGCAGAGCCGTATCAAAACTTGGCTTCATTTTGTCTTTTTCAGTCCACATCCATGAATAATTTCTTACAGATGTGCAGGCACAGGTGCTTGTTGAGGGAGGAGCAACAGTGCATCAGGACCAGCCACTCTGTTTATCAGAGAGGTATTCTCACAAATTGCCTGAAACTTTAGATTCTACTCCCAAAGTTGCCACATACCATTTCTGTTTGATCAACGAGAGCTGTTGGGCAAACTCAACATCTGGAAGGCTCAGATGTCACTGAGTTCTTTCTGGTGTTCACAGTCAGCTTAGTGGCAAGCTAAGCTATTTCTCCAAAGAAGAATGTTATTTGCCAAAGAAGGGATAGATTTGCTCCATATACCTAGGCTCTTGCTACAGGCTCCACACAGCATCCTGCTATGTCTCTGACACATTAAATGCCATTGGATGTGCTGCCGTAGTGGCTGGAGAAAAAATTTTTGCACTGCAGCCATGCAACAATCAATCATGCAGGTAATTGCATGACTTTCCCCTGCTCTGGGCTCTACTCAAAGCTAATAGCTTTCCCAGTTACCTATCAAAGTGCTTTGATGAACACATTATAATTTCACAAATATTGTCCTTTTTTACTTATGGGGAAAGGAGGCAAATGATATTACAATTCCTCATCCTCAACTTTTTTTTTTTTTTAGACAGAGTCTCGCACTGTCGCCCAGGCTGGAGTGCAGTGGCGCGATCTCAGTTCACTGCAACCTCCTCCTCCCAGATTCAAGCAATTCTCCTGCTTCAACCTCCCCAGTTGCTGGGATTACAGGCTCTCACCACAACACCCAGCTAATTTGGGTATTTTTAGTAGAGATGGGGTTTCGCCATGTTGGCCAGGCTGGTCTTGAACTCCTGACCTCAGGTCATCTGCCCACCTTGTCCTCCCAAAGTGCTGGGATTACAGGCGTGAGCCATCACACCGGGCCCATCCTCAACTTTTAAAGATGATCCCAGCAAGCACCAGAGCAGGAGACCTTTAAAAACTTTACGAGTGTGCACACCCTGTATGTTCCTAAAACTAATATTCGACCCTGTAAATACATAAAGACACATTGTTTCAGAAAAATAATCTATATTTCTAGAGCCATCCAGTTGATGAACTATGAGAATGTAAGTTTTCATTACATATTCCTGAATTAACAAAACATAGGATCAACACATTAATATATGATATATTAAGGACTCAGGAACTTATCACACAAATGAAAAATAAAGCACTTAAATAGTCTTCTGAAATTACCTTCTGTTTCTCCACTGTACCAAGGCATCACCCTTAAAGAAACCCCTGCCCCAGTTTGGTGTTTATTTATTTCATTTCTTCATACAGAATGCTCTTTTTTCATGTTGATTAAATGTTACATATAGTTTGTATTTATCACGTGTACTTTTTTGTAACATATCTTTTCACTCCTTATGAGACCCATCCATGCTGTGTAGAGGCTCCAGTTCATTTGTTTTACTGCTGTATGGAATTCTATTGTATTAAGCACCATGCTTGTTTATCCATCCTTCTTCCACTGGACTGTAAAGTGGTGGATTCCATTGTGGGGCCATTGCTAGCAAACACTCTTGTACATGTCCTCTTGATCACAAATATGAGAGTCTCAGAGTAACTTTCTAGTAGTGGAATTTCGGGGTCCTTGCTTTATGGAGCTTCGCCTTCACCATATATTGCTATATGTTTTTCTGGAGTCCTTCCTTTCTGACGTTCCAGCTTTCTGAGTCACATAGTCCCTTGAGACGATCATTGAGCTCCAGGTCTCTAAGATTTTTGATGGATCCCACCCATCCCATCCCCAACCATAGGCCAGAAATAGAGTTGATTTATGTCTTTTCCAGTCTGACTCTCAGTCCTTCTTTGTTTTTGTCACATGGGCATTTTCTTTATCAAAAGTTTGACTATGGTCTGGCACAGTGGCTCATGCCTGTAATCCCAGTACTTAGGGAGGCGGAGGTGGGAAGGTAGTTGAGCCCCAGAGTTTAAGATCTGCCTGGGCAATATAGCAAGATGCTGTTCTCCACTAAAAGGAAAAAAAAAAGACCAAAAGAAAGTTCAACTTTCTCAATTTTTTGAGAAAGTATCTGATAAATTGTAACCAGTATTTCTCAATGGTAAGTGATTTTCATATTGTTATTCTACCCTATTCCCAGAACAAAGCTGAGCTCTCATGTTGCATACCCAGACCTTGTATGCCCTTCCGTGACTCCAATTACAAGTCAACGTCTTCATCACCAAGAACAGATTTCCCAAATGGCCCTCTTAACCCCATAAATCACAACCAGGTGAGGGATCATCAATCCTGTCTTTAAATTTATCACTGAAGAAAGACACCCACTTCCCTCCCTCCTTTTCTTATGATTAGCCTCCCAACAGTGTTTAATAGGAACAAGTATACATTCAAAACTTGTGGTTATAGACCAGAAGGCACAACTAGCAGTTAGAAAGTAACACGCCATATCCTGTCTCCCCGACAATTTAGAGAAGGAGAATAATAAGCATGAGGTATTACACAAGGTTTCATAGAGGAGGTAAGATTAGAACTGAACTTACAGAATTTGAAGATTGAGGATAGATCCTAAAAAATGGCCACCAGCTTTCAAAAGCCTCAGCCTTTCCTGAGTACAGCACTATCCCTAGGCCAGTCATGCAGAAGAGAAAGAAACAGAAAGAAACCCTAGAAATTTTGAGATCGTATGGTTCACCCTAGCAAGTGTACTTGGGTATTTTTATAGGGGAAATGGATAGGGATTGCACTCTTTGTTCATTATATGGCTAGTGTACTCCACTCCTTATTGTCTTGTGCCAACTGCACATTTTACTGCTGTGTAGCTTCAGGGCTTAATGGATGCTGCCTGACTCACCCATCATCTTCATTTCTTCCATCCCAAGGTTTGTTAACACTGTCCAAAGATTCAAAGAACCACAGAGTGGCAGCAGTGTCAGTCCTGTACCATTTCCAGTGCACATTCTCTCCCTCTTTGTCACACACACACACACACACATACACACACGGGGTTTTAAAACCACCATATCTATAAGCTAACCAAAGGCACAATGTCTATTTAGCCAGAAAGTTACTTCTTTAATCGTATACATTTTTTTCTTTGAGACAGAGTCTCACTCTGTTGCTCAGGCTGGAGTGTAGTGGCCTGATCCCAGCTCACTGCAACCTCCACCTCCCAGGTTCAAGCAATTCTCCTGCCTCAGCCTCCTGAGTGGCTGGGATTACAGGTGCGTGCCACCAAACCTGGCTAATTTTTTGTATTTTCAGTAGAGATGGGGTTTCACCATGTTGGCCAGGCTGGTCTTGAACTCTTGACCTGAAGTGATCCACTCGCTTCGGCCTCCCAAAGTGCTTGGATTACAGGCATGAGCCACTGTGCCTGACCATCATATAGATTATTTATTTGTAGATCTCAAACTCTCAAACATCTGCCACAGTCTTCTCTCAGGATGCCTGTATGAAAACTAGCGGACAGTAATTTAAACTTCAGAATTTTAGGCCAAGCCTGAAAAAACAGTCTTTACTGAACACTTAGGTAACATCCAAGAATCTGGATTTTAAAAATTTAGATGTGATGGTCTTTTAGTATGTCCACTGGCTGGACTACAGACCTCAGTTACTCAATCAAGTACCAATCTAGGTGTTGCTGTGAATATATCCACTGATGAGATTAAAGTCCATAATCAGTTGATTTCAAGTAAGGGAAATTATTCTGAATAAACTGGTTGGACCTGATGCAACAAATCCATACAGCTGATAATTTTCTGTAGAAGAAGAAATTCACCCCTTAAACAGTAGCTCCAGCCCATGCATGGGAGCTCCTGTTGGGCCACCCTATGGAGTTGGAGTTGCCTAGACAGCCCCACAGTCATGAAAGCCAATTCACTGCAATAAGGCTCTTCATATATGTCTCCTGATGGTTTTTTTTCTCTAGTAAAATCCTAATACAGCTTTTAGTACTGGGGTTGGTGCTAGAAGGTTATCTAAAGCATGAGTTTTCTAAAAATCTCGTGCTCAGGATAATCTGGTTCCAGATTTTCTGGGATTGGTTCTCTAATCTGATTAGAGTTAAAGGCAATAATGGCTACATCCAGTGTGGAAGAGGGCACTGGTAGCTCATAGCTGGATGCCAAAATATCACATTGGATACTCGTAATCAAATACTTACAAAAGACAAGTTTCTGGGTAAGCAGGTATTTGCTACCTTAGAATATTTTAGTCAAACTAAGGGGTAGGTAGGGCCGGCTGGTTGCTCCCAACTGCACTGAAAAAGTGAAGAAAGAAAAGGATGAACTTTGGGATTTGAACTTCCTGATGATGTAGTGTATAGAAAACCTGATCTGTATCTTGCCTAAAGAAACCTGTATCTCCTAGAGCTACAGAGCCCAGATTTCTGAAACTCTCATTCTGGGAGTGGCTGAATTACAATATAAATTGAATTCTCAGCCTCACGGAACATCTTCTGTTCAAGTGAGAGCATTGATTGGGAAGAATCTGGATCCTGAATATTGGAATGGTACCAATGGGCAGATCCTGATGAAGTGGCAGCATGGAGCCCCTAAATTCTGCTGAGCCTTCTTTGCCAATAGAAGCAGCCCTTCCACCCCTGTCGGGGAATGTCAAACCTTCTGTGCTGAGGAAAGTGCAATGGCCTCCTCTGTGGTAGTTGCCTTGCAAAGCTCTGCTAATTCTCTTCAGAGCCTATCCCACCATCTTTTTAGCTTCTATATCCATAACTAGACTGAAGTCCCAGCCTCAAAAGGTGAGGTACAAAGTGACACATGAGACAGGGTACTGTGCTCCAAAAGAACTAAATGACTTTTCCAATTTATACAAACAGAAATCCCAGGAATGTGTATGGGGATGGATATTAAGAGCATGAGATAGTGAAGCAAGAAACACCAAGTTGAATGAAGTCAAATCTCTTGATATGTGCCCTAGCAAGCAGCGATTCTGGACTTAACGTTGTAGCTGAAGGGGTGAGAAGGAGCTCTGGCCATTTGTTTGGCTGATGGGTTGGCTGGTTGGCTGAAATGTGGACCCAGAGGTAGCTCAACTAGATGAAGTTGAAATGCCACAACGGCTTTGGTATGCTGTACAGGAAGGGGCCCAAATGCTTAGGGAGATTGTAATGTTAGAATAGACTTCACCCAAAACTCTGTGTTCTCTTCTGGGGAAAGGGTGAGCTTGTATTTGTTCTAAGCAGGATAGCTGTGTCATGCTGGTTAGAAATACGACTTTGTTATTGACTTTTCAGTTAGAGATGACGTATGGTCTGAGGAGTTATGTCTGGTGTTGAGTTCACGGGGGTGCACTGCGATGGGCTAATGATACCTATGTAGCTTAGCTACAATCCCCAGCCTTTCACTAAAACACCCATCTGTGAAGATATTTTGGCTACATGATTGTAGCTCGTATTTATGACTACCTTCTCCCATAATAAGAAATGTAAGAAACTAAAAAAAAAAAAAAAAATTTCAAAACACTTTTGTATTCATCATCACAATAATTCCATAGTTTAGATAAATCGTGAGTGATCATGCTCAAATGACAGGCAAGTAAACGGGAAGGAGAAATTAGTTTTTCAGAACCACAGAGACCCAGAAATAAAGCAATAAATATATCCGTCTGTATTATTTTGTTCATTCTGCTTGTCAGCAACTTTAACTAAACTTGAGGCAAACACATCGTTCTTTTTCCTTTTATGACCCTTCCTCAAGCCTCCAAATCTCACTACAGTGGGTAGTTTGTCTTGACATTGACTATCCTTCCAGAAATATTTTTGTATAATTAATAACCTTTACTCTTTCTGTCAGCTATAAAATCAGATGACTGTCATTCTTAACATTTAATCTCATCAATTTTGACATTCTCTGAGAATTGGATTTCTGTAAATGCCTGGTGACACAATAGCATTAGATGGAGAATATTTATGTAACCAAGGAACCAAGCCTGAGATCATCTTGAAACTGACATTGCTGAAGATAAGAATAAAAACTGCCTGTTGATTAAAAAGTAGAATTAAAAGAAAGTCCCCCGAAAGCAGGAGAGTAAAACCAAAAATGGGAGATGATTCGGAGAGGCGTTTTCACCTAATTCTAACTTGGGGAAATAGATTGATGCAGGAAATCAGGAGATAACAGTAGGCCATTTAAGGGATAATGTACATATTAATATGGGATCCAGTAAAGAGGAGGAAATTCAAAGTTCCAGCTGCTGCTCTTCCAATAGAAGAGACAGACCAGCCTGACAGCTCGTCAGCTCCATTACCTGTGTCCGAGAAAGTTAGTTGAGCAATTAAATTTTTTCCTGCATGTATACATGTACTTCCATCCATAATAAATAGCAGGTATCATATTTCTCTTTCCACTAAAATCAAGTCAAAAACTGGATGAATATATCTGTAATAATAACTTTCAGGCACTGAACCTTGACAGTATAAAAATATGAACCATAAAAAAAGAAAAAAAAATGAGATAACCCTGCTCATAACCCCAGATTACAGCCTGAAGCAGTTTCAGGTCCCAGCACAACAGGGGAAATTAAAGAGAGCCCCCACTGTGGTGGTGGTGGCTACTCCAGTCCATAAATGTGATGAAACCTCAGAGAATGATATGCCCCTGAAAGCAGGTGCATGTAAAAATGGGTGAAATCCAAATTAAATTTTTAGTTTAGTTAATAGTACTGTTGTAATGTCAGTTTTCTCATTTTGATAAATGTGCTATGTTTAGGGTGTTATCATAGAGGAAACTGGATAAAGGGTATATGGGAAATCTTGGTATTAAATTTGTAACTTCTATGAGATTTAAATTAGTACCAAATGAAAAGATTTTTTTGAAAACTAAAGGCTAAACACTTTTTAGAGGATGAAACTGAGATAAAATTAATCACCACCAGATTTTTACTATAAGAAATTGATTGGACTCCGGTGAAGACTCCAAGATGGTGATTGCCACCTCGGATACCCTGACTCAGCATTTCCGGGTTCACCTTTCCTATTCCCACCACCCCGACTAACGTGCATGCCCACTAGGGCGTGTCACACTCAGAAGCGCGAAACTCAACCGACCCCGCCCCTACCCCACCCACTCCTCACCCAGCATCCATAAAAGCATGCTGCACCTTTGGCACAGCGCGACTTCCCTGGCCCTCCCCCTGCGGACCAGTGAACCTCGCCCGAGGGCTCAATAAAGAAGATTTTTGCCCTCTTTTTCTCACCTCTCAGCCTTATTGATCCATGGTGCCCTTCCATTGCCTTTCATTGGTGCCGAAACCCGGGAGGGGACACCTCCTAAGCCCCCCCAGAGGCTCAGGGGGACTCCCCTCCTGGTCGGATCAGTCCTCTCCCTCAGTCAGGTCAGGCTTCTCCTCCACGGCCATCTGTCCATTTCGTCCGGTTACTTGCTGCCAGGTCGCAGTTGCTGCAGCTACTCCAGTCCAATTCGGCCGACGCTAGGTGAGTACCCCTCCTTTTTCCTTTTGTCCGTTCCTCCCTGGCCGAGAGTCATGCGCACACCCAGGGAGAGTTTCCTTCTTCAAGGGAAGGCCAGTCCGGGTCACCAGGTGACCCAAGTTTACTTCCCCAGGGGAAGTCCAAATCGGCACTGACGACTCAGAGACGTCCATGTCTGAAGTAGCCGATCCGAGGCTCCAGGAGCCGCGTGGTCTGAGTGACCCCAGAGGGATGCTTCTGCTGTCCCTCAGACCGCTGCCATAAGGGGAAGAGGATGGGGTCCACCCAGTCCAAAATCACGCAAAACACCCCCTTAGGGTGCCTTCTGCGCAACCTCCCAACTTTACAACTCAATCAAGATTTAAAATGAAAGCGACTAATTTTCTTCTGCACAGTTGCCTGGCTGCAATATACCTTGGACAACCAATCTCGCTGGCCCCCCAAAGGCACACTCGACTTCAATATCCTAAACGACCTTACCAATTTTTGTCAGAGGCGAGGCAAATAGTCAAAAATCAAATTTGTTCAAAGGTTCTGGGACCTCCGCTCTCGTCGGACCGCTGCCGCCAAGTGTTTTCGCTGGCACAAGTCCCTGTGGCTAGCCTTCCCCTTGAAGTCTGGCCAGCCTCTCTTGCCGTTAATCCTGTCCGGGGCCCCCATCTTAGTCTCTCTGCCGCCATCTCCTTCTGCACTGCCGCCATCTTACTACCTGCTTCCTCACTGCCGCCATCTTACTTCCTTTTTTCTCTGCTGCCATTTTAGTTCTTCTGCCACCATTCGGCTGCCATTTTAATTCCCATTAGTTCCCATTTGTTCTTTTAACCCTGCCCAGCTAACTCCTTGGCTTCCATCTTACCCGCATTCTTATTTCCACCTGCCTATAGTGCCATACCAGTCCACTGCATCTACAACTCCTAACACATTCGCTGCGGGCAGTGATATCCACTAATCCTGGATGAGGCAGCGGAGGGCCCCCAAACCCCTATCCAGGACTTAGTAAAGCTGGCGTTCAAAGTTTTTAATTCCTGAGAGGAGGCGGCTGAGGTACAACGACAGGCAAGCCTGAAACAAAAAGTTCAGCTCCAAACCCAAGCCCTGGCAGCTGCCCTGCAACCGGCATTCCCTAAGAGCCGCGGCAGGAGAGGTAGAGGTACAATCTCCCGGGCCCCGTCTGGCGTCTGCTTCAAGTGAGGCAACTCAGGACACTGGGCCAGCCGGTGCCCTAGCCAACAGCAACCGTCCTGCCCGCCTTGCAACTGTTTCAAGTGTGGCAATCCAGGTCATTGGGCAAAACAGTGCCCAAACCCCAAGCCGCCAACACACCCGTGCCCTAACTGCCAACAAATGGAGCACTGGAGGTCAGACTGCCCCAGCCTCGGAGCGGCCGCTGTGGCTCCACATGGCGACCCCTCCCTGGATGGCGAAGGTGCCCTCTAGCTCCTCCAACTGGATGACGACTGAAGAGGCCCAGGCTCGGGAACCCCTCTCACCCTTGCCGAGCCCAGGGTAATGCTTCAGGTAGCGGGTAAGTCCATTTCCTTTTTGCTAGACACAAGGGCTACCTACTCTGTTTTGCCATCTTTTAGCAGGCCCAGCCGCCCCTCCTCAATCTCTGTTATAAGGATTGATGGCACTCCCTCCACCTACCGCCAGACGCCTTCACTGCCCTGCCGCCTAGACCACTATATAACTTTCTTGAACCCATAATCTACCATCCTTCCTTCTATTCCTTACTAAAGCAAATACATCGAGTTATCTTCTTACTTTAGTAAACACTTTCTCAGGTTAGATTAAAGCCTGCCCTACCACCCATAAAACAGCAGAGGTAGTAGCTTCAACCCTCATTGAACAGATAATCCCGAGATTTGGCCTGCTTTTATCTCCAAAATAGTCAAACAGGTGACAACCACACTTGGCGTTAACTGGAAGCTACACACTCCATACCATCCGCAGTCTTCTGGAAAAGTGGAATGCGCCAACGGCCTTGTCAAACAACACCTAATCAAATTGGCTCTCGAGAAGCGCCAATCGTGGGTAACCTTACTTCCCTTTCCCCTCGCACGGCTCCAGGCAGCACCCCGAAGCCCCACAGGCCTTAGCCCCTTTGAACTCCTATATGGACGCCCCTTCCTCTTTCAAGAGCTCCCTGTGAATAACCCACCTCTTGGCACGTACCTGCCCTACCTCACCCTGTTAAGGGAGCTGCTAAGAGAACACACCGACCACAGCCTTCCAAAGCCCGGACCACTCAGCCCAGACAGTCCGGCCATAATAACCCCAGGAGATCAGGTACTAGTAAAAGACCTCCAGGCAAGAGGTCTCTCCCCCCAGTGGAAAGGCCCCTATACGGTAATTCTTACAACACCGACGGCAGCTAAACTTATAGGCCTTCCCTCCTGGTACCATATTTCCCATCTTAAGAAGGCACCTACACAACATCAGGCCACTTGGACTGTCACCTCCCTTTCCCCAACCAAACTGAAACTCTCTCCATCAAATACCGCATGAATTCTCCATGTGACAGGCTCCAACAATTTATTCAGGTTCTTCTCGAGGAAAGCTGGTCATTCCCTAGTTTTGCTAACACCCTTCACTGGCCTGAAAATCTGTTGTCCTATATAGACGAACTGGTATGGCAAGGCTCCCTCCAGAACTTTCACCAACATGAAGTTCGCTTTGACAAGCCCCCTCTCAGACTCCCTCTCACTGGGTTTTCTTCCCTCACTGAGAATTGGAGTTCCAGACAGGCAGTGTCCTCTAGACTAGTAGCCACGGCAGCATCCCCGCCAGCAGGGTGTCAGGCACCCATAGCTTTCCTAGGTCTAAAATTCTCTTCCCTAGGCCCGGCTAGAAAAAACCCTGCACTTTGCTTCCTCTATGATCAAAGTAACTCCAAATGCAATACCAGCTGGGTCAAAGAAAATGTAGGCTGTCCGTGGCACTGGTGCAATATCCATGAGGCATTAATTCGTACTGAAAAAGGATCTGACCCAATGTTCTATGTCAATACCTCCACTGGAGGACGGGACGGCTTTAACGGATTTAACCTCCAAATTTCTGACCCTTGGGACCCCCGCTGGGCCTCCGGTGTAGATGGAGGACTATATGAGCACAAAACTTTTATGTATCCAGTAGCTAAGATCCGCATTGCCAGGACCCTTAAAACCACTGTCACAGGGTTATCCGACTTAGCCTCCTCAATCCAGTCAGCCGAGAAAGAGCTTACCAGCCAGCTTCAACCGGCAGCTGACCAGGCCAAGTCCTCCCGCTTCTCGTGGTTAACTTTAATCTCAGAAGGTGCACAATTGCTCCAATCCACAGGGGTACAAAACCTCTCCCACTGCTTCCTCTGTGCAGCCCTCAGAAGACCTCCATTAGTAGCAGTTCCTCTCCCTACCCCCTTTAATTATACTATAAATTCATCAACCCCTATACCACCGGTCCCAAAAGGACAGGTCCCACTATTCTCAGACCCTATAAGACATAAGTTCCCATTCTGTTACTCTACCCCAAATGCCTCTTGGTGTAACCAGACTAGGATGCTTACCAGCACCCCGGCACCGCCCAGAGGCTACTTCTGGTGTAACTCCACGCTAACTAAAGTTCTTAACTCAACTGGTAATCACACCTTGTGCTTACCCATCTCTCTCATCCCTGGCCTGACCCTATATAGTCAGGATGAACTTAGCCATCTGCTAGCCTGGACCGAGCCAAGGCCACAAAATAAAAGCAAATGGGCTATTTTCTTACCCTTAGTACTAGGCATCTCCTTAGCCTCCTCCTTAGTGGCATCAGGGCTAGGAAAAGGAGCCCTCACCCACTCAATCCAAACATCTCAAGATCTGTCTACTCACCTGCAGTTGGCCATTGAGGCATCGGCCGAGTCCCTGGACTCCCTACAGCGACAGATCACTACAGTAGCACAGGTCGCAGCACAGAACAGGCAGGCCTTAGACTTGCTTATGGCAGAAAAAGGAAGGACATGTTTATTCTTACAGGAAGAATGCTGCTATTATCTCAATGAGTCAGGGGTAGTTGAGAACAGTTTACAAACTTTAAAAAAAAAAAAAAGCTCCAAGAGGAGTTAAAACACTCCTACGACCCTCCACCCTGGTCCTTCTTGGTGGTTTTCAACCGTGGCTCAACAGATGCTCCCTTTCCTTATCCCAATTATAATTCTCTGTATAATAATGTGTTTTGCCCCAATCCTAGCACAGTTTCTTTGCCAGCGGATACAAGAAATCACCAGGGTTCTTCAAGTAGAAGAAAAATAATACTAGATAGAAATTTTCACAAACAAAAAGGAATGAGAGCATTGGAAAAATGGAAAATATGTAGTTAAATATGAAATTTATAATCTCTTTAAAAGATGATTGACTGCTTAAAAAATGATAACAATGAAAGTTAGTTTGTATTCACTATTGATGCATCGCAAAATACACTAATCACTTAGTGGCCAAACATGACAAACATTTGTTGTGTCGCAACTATTAAGTGTCAGGAGTTTGGAAGTGGCTTAACTGAGTGGTTCTAGCTCAAAGTCTTTTATGAGGTTGTAGTCATGGAGTCAGTGAAGGATACCATCATCTGGAGGCTCAACTGTGGCTGGTGAATCTGCTTCCACCTCACTGGCTGTTGGTGGGAGGCCTCAGACCCTCACTGGCTGTTGGCAGCAGGCCTATTTCTCTCCACATGGGCTACGTGAGTGTCCTGATGACACTGCAGCTGGCTTCCCCAGAGTGAGGAATCCAAGACAGAAAACAGGGCAGAGGCTGAAGTGCTCATGACTTAGTCAGAAGTCACACACCAACATTCCTATCATGTTCTAAACTCTAGTAGAAAGTCATTAAGTCCAGGCCACACTAAGGGGAGGTGAATTACACTCCATCTTTTGAGAGGACATATTTCAGAGCCACCACATGTAAAAGCAAAATGTCTAACAACAGTGGCACAAAGGACAGAAGATGGAAAGTGGAAGTCTACAGTCTTAAGTATCTTATGCTGCAGGTGAAGTGGATGATGCCAAGTGAAGGTAGACTGCAATAAATTAAATCATATGTTGGAAACTCTAGAGAAACACTAAATGAAACCTGTATTGCTAATAAATCAATATGAGGGATAAAATGAATCCATAAAAAAGTACTCAAGTAATCAAATAGAAGGCAGGAAAAGGAGAAAAAAGAATAAAGAACAGATAGGACAAACAGGAAAAAAACAGCAAAACAGTACATTTAAACTAATCAACAATTACATTAAATATAAGTGGCTGAACATCAAAAGAAAAAATCAAAGATTACTAGCTTGGTTCAAAAAGTAAAACTATGTTCTGGATACAAGAAACATACTTTAAATTGTAGCTATGTTAAAAGTAAGAAGGTGGGAAAATAAATATCGTAAAAAGATGAATCAAAAGAAAGCTGGAGTAGCTATGTTAATAGACAAAGTAGATTTCAAAACAAGGAATATAACTAAGAAGAAAAATGGAATTTTATTTTAAAGGTGTTAATTCATTAAAAAGACATAATTATAGATGATTATGTACCTAATAACAGATATTTGAAATATCTGAAGCAAATTCTAGTAGAACCAAAAAGAAAGAAATAAGTCAGAAAAAGTGGAATTAGACACACACACACACACACACTCACACACACACACACACAATATCAATGGAGATTTTAATGCTCCCCTAAGGAATTGCTAGAACAAGGAGACAAAAAGACAAAAACAAACAATAAAAACACAAACACACATTGAGGACATAAACATCTTGAACAACACTATACCTTAGCTGACTTCATTGACACATATAGAACACTCCAGCAGTGTACTAAACATTCTTTTCACATGTAACGAGAACATTTATAAAAGGAGACTATATTAAGGGGTGTTTACTGAGTATCAATACCTTTATAAGCAGGAATCAGCAAGCTACAGCCCAGTGGCCAAATCCAGCCCACCACCCACTGCTGTAATAAAGCTTTGCTGGAGCACAGCCATGCATGTTATTTGTGCATTATCTATGGCTGCTTTTGTACTACAATGACAGAGCTAAGTAGTGGCTACAAAGAATATGAATGGGCCCACAAAGCCTACACTCTCTCTACCTTCTGGCACTTTACAGAAAAAGTTTACTGACAGCTGGGCACAGTGGCCCAGACCTGTAATCCCAGTACTTTGGGAAGCTGAGGAGGGAGGATCACTTCAGACCAAGAGTTCGAGATCAGCCTGGGCAACATGGCAAAACCCCGTCTCTACTAAAAACACAAAAATTAGCCAGGCTTAGTGGTGCTCACCTGTGGTCTCAACTACTCGGGAGGTTGAGGCACAAGAATCACTTGAGCCTGCTAGGCAGAGGTTGCAGTGAGCCATGATTGTGCCACTGCACACCAGCCTGGATTTTTAAATCCTGCCAGAAAAAGTTGGCACAACTCAGTAACTAATCAACAAATAAAAATTACAAATAGTCATTTTATCATATTAAGAATATTTATCCCTTGCAAAGTTATATTATGTGGGATCCCATTTCAGAGACAAATGAAGACACTCGACCATCTCTAAATGCTACCAAACACATAGAGTCTACTCTGAATGCAGATACTGCTCTCATAAAAATTCTGCAAAGGAGGAAGGGGTTGGTGCAGAACTGTTCCGATGCTGGTAGGTTCCTTTCAAGGGCAGGCTTTTTTAGTCTCCCTGGGAATTGATGCTACAGAAAATGCTGATATTTATGGAATTAATCTTATCTCCCTCAGATACGGAATGAGAAAAATAATCGTGAGCCCCTGTCCTTTGCTCTGAAGCACCCAATCCTATACATTGACGTGTAGTCACTGATATAAATGTCACACCCTCTTGTCTAGTGTGCACACGTCACGATGTAGCCCTTTCTGCACCTGAGTACTCTCATGCATGCACAAAGCCAGAGTGGTTTTTCAAAATGCTAATTTGGTAATGAGCCAGGAGCCAGATGACTTGATGAAGAATAATTTGACAGAGATCTTGAGCTCAGAAGTAAACAAATTAATATAAAGAGAGAAGTAAGAAACCGAGTGAGCAAGGCTTAGGAAAAGAACTAGGAGAGGTTCCAACTGGAATCAAGGGAGCTGAGAAAATCATTGAGTCCTAAAACTGGAGCACCTCTGAAAGCCCCTGGGCCAACTTCCTGTCCCCATTCATTTATTCCTTCATTCTTCCATTTGCCAAATATGCTGTTTAGTGTGAGGGGTGGAATAGGAATTGAGGCAAAAGGGCCCCTTTCCTCTGAACATGCACAGTTAGCAGGGAAGGTAGACACTAAATAGATACACATAATAACATGTCGTGATTGCCATGGTGGTGAGTACAGGCTGCTGAGATGCCCAGAGTAGGAGTCCTGACACAGACAGTGGGCCCAGGAGACCTCCCTGGAGAGAAGACATTTATGCTGAGATTTCAGTAATGGGTATTAGCCATTAGGTGTAGGCAAACAAAAGTGTACAATTCTAGGCCAGGTGCGGTGCCTCACTTAAGGTCAGGAGTTTGAGGCCAGCCTGGCCAACATGGCAAAACCCCCTCTCTACCAAAAAATATAAAAAATTAGCTGGGCGTAGTGGCAGGCGCCTGTAATCCCAGCTACTCAGGAGGCTAAGGCAGGAGAATTGCTTGAATCTGGGAGGCAGAAGTTGCAATGAGCTGAGATCTCCCCATTGCACTCCAGCCTGAGTGACAGAGTGAGACTCCATCTCAAAAAAAAATAGTGTGCAGTTCCAGGCGGAAGATCACCATGTGTGAAAGCTCAGAGACAATGAATCTTGCCTAAGAACAGAAGAGAAGTCTGCGTGGTCAGAACCCACGATATAAGGAGAGTGAGAAGAGGGGAGGTGAGGGGATGTGTTAGAAGACCTTCTTAACTACCTAAGGAGTTTACATTTTATCCTCAGGAAAATGGGATGTCATCAAAGCCCTTTGAGAAAAGGAGGGATGTGATCAGATTTGTAATTTTCAAAGATTTCCTGAGGTGCTGTGAATTTTACAGATCAACTGAGATGCAAAACCCATGTTCACATCATGAGTGAGTCTTCTAACTCGGACAATGCAATCAACAAATTCTAAGACCAAATTCCGGTGGCACTGGCTCCAAAGGTAAGCCTGTAGATCCACTGCTAGCAAGTGGGGCTGGGGATTACTGTACATAGTTTTCAGGAGCATTAGAAATAATCGCTGGGTTATTGCCATATTTGACAACATCGTCTTACATAGGAGACTTAGACAATGCCGCTGGAGAGTGCCTTCTATCTCAGAATGTGGGTCAGGGCCTCAGAAAGAAATCTCGATCCAAACCTAAGCATCATCTTGAGTGTTTGCCGGGAAGGCCCTGTGTGCCCTAGAAGTGGGTGCTGGAAAGGCCCCTGCCATTGTGAAGTGACGTAAGAGAACGGGGAGCCGATTGTTTGGGCACTGTCAAGCTGCCATATGCCGGAAACCTGCCTCCCTCTGTCGTGACAGCTGAGGCCTCCATACTGTGGTCACAAAAGGGGTTTGGCTACTTCCCGTCAGCTCAGATAATCACAGGTATGGAAGGCCTCATCCAGCCCCACACTGTATCAGGGACTCGGGGTGAGCAGTGACTGAGACGTGGGCCTGGTCCATTGGGAGCCTACATTCCCATGCACAAATGCAGCAATAATCAAGAAAAAGTGAATAAGCCAAGTTATCTCAGGTTACATCAAGTGCTATGAAATTTATAAAAGGAGTGTAAAAATTATGAGTAACCAGGGAAAGCCAGTGTAGACAGTGTGGGCATAGCAGGTGCCTCATAGCTGAGGCCTGAGTGGGGAATAAGCTCCACAGGGGAAGCACAGTCCAGGCAGGGGAGCAGGAGCCTCCGCCTCCATGAGCAGGAACCTCTTCCCCACTTTTTGAACAGCCGAGTTCCTGCCAGAGCGTTGGTTGTACATAGTCTGCTGCAACCATACCAGGGTTTCAATTGAGTGCCTCAGTGCCCGTAAAACATTCTTTCTACTTTTTCTAGGAGAGTGGAAATAGTCAGCCAAATCAAACTTGATCTTTCCTTTCTCAAAACTCCAATATTCAGCAAATATTTGAGTCTACAACATACCGTGCCCTGGGAGTTATAAAGACATGGCCTTCTTTTTTGGAAGATCTCTAATCTTTGAGGTCATTGGTAGAAGCACCCCCTACACAGGTTAACATAATGTCCCCCAGTCACATGAGGGTACATTACATACAGCATCATTGGCATAAGTGACTCTGTCTTAAAACATGACCCCATCTTATACTTCAAAAGGCATCATGCCAGCAGGGACCAGATGTGCACCTAATCAAGAGATGGCATCCAATCAGATGGGGGTGTGACCCTTTACTATCGTCCTCACCACAGGACTCATGGTCTATCAAAGAGCAAGACCTCACCAGCTCAACACAGCCACCTCCATACACATCTTACTGTCACTTGTGATCAGCACCAAAGGAAGTGTCCACCTGAAGGACTCTCCCTTGAGGACTGTCAGGATCCACCCAAGAGGTGCTCTTTGTCCACACCACGTTCCTTTTACTGGTTCGTTATCCCATTTTCTGTTGATGTTAAATGTCACTCTGTTTGATGTGAAAACTCTCATCTATAACATTTATAGATTGATTAAGTATACTATCATGCATGGTTTGCAATGTTGACTGGCCTGTGCAGTGGCTTGAGCCTGCATGCCACAGTGGCTCTGACTCCTGAGTGCATGGGAGGCCTAAAGACAACTGCCTCCTCAGGAACCCCACAGAGCCCGTGGTTTTTATTATTGAAATAGCATTGGTAAAGTCTGACCCTGTGGAGAGAGACAAACGTGTGTGGATTTGGCTATGCCTGGCCTTGTGCTGCTCACGACATAACTTACCCACCATTTTCAGCACTTTCTTTGTTCTACTTTGAGTTACAAATAGAGACACATAAATAAATATGATCTGTCCTTTTTTTCTCAAGCACCGAAATGGTGACTGGTGCCCTTTGGCACCCATTGCCCCTGTAGTTATAGCACAAATACAGTAGCTTGTATCAGGGACTTCAAAAATATCCTTTGAAAGTCAAATATTTGGAGAGAAGGAGAGGGGCAAGAATGGCCTTTCTTTCTAGGGAAAAGACTTTGCCATGAGCAGTTTAAAATGCTGCAGAGAAAACTGCCGTGAAAGGCTCAGCTGTACCCCCTGCTCTGTTTCATGCCAGGCAAGGAGCCGGCTGTAGACATGGGAAAGAAGGATGCCAGGTGAGCTAGAGGGGTCCAGGGCCCCATAGGAGGAGGCTGCTGAGGATGTTGGTTGTAACTCACAGGCCCAGTCAGTGCCTTCCATTCTTGGTGATGGAAGGAGACCCTCCCAGCATGACTCTGAGCACCTCTGAGCTTGATCTAGCAAGGACAAGGCAGCCAGAAGCCCAGCTTTGCTCAGATCTGGGAAGTGTGCAGGCTGCAGGGGCCTCTGTGGGTTTACAGGGAGTGCTCTGGGATCCTCTGCGCTGTGGGGTGTGAGGCTGGGATGGCCTGGCCACATGCCAAGAAGGCAGAAGCAAGTTCAAGGGCAGAAAAGTTGTGGGCAAGAGTCTCAAGAGCACCTCACCAACCACAAGACTCCACTCAGTACTGAGCTCTTGGGGTTGCAGTAAAGCCTAATGGCATCATAGATTTTTCTCTACGTTAACAATAAAAAGGCAGAGCTCAGAGAGGTTCTGATGTACTTGAGGACACACAGTTCATTGAGAGGTGGGATCAGAGTCTAGGTCTTGTGGGCTGGCAAGGATGCCAAAGGAACTTAGGCGGGAGACACACAACACACATGGGAAACACACAGCAGTTACAGCAAACGCACACACGGGACAACAGCAAGCATGGAGCTAGATATGGTGAGCCCCAGAAAGGAAGAGTAGAGCCAGCTTAGTTTTACAGGGGCTAGGGAATTCTTGGTCTGTGAAGACAAATTGTATCCATTCAGTTTTTCATTCAATATAATTGAGTGCCTTGATAGGTACAGGAAATACACAAATGGAAATAAGTCATCGACTCTACCCTCAAGGCATTTGGGTGTTTTCCAAGCTCTGTGGTTGTTCCTAGGACTATAAATATGAAGAAAAAAAGATTCATAGAAACTGCCCTCAGGTCCTTCTGGCTTTTAGATAAATAGATTATAGACAGATAGATAGATAGATAGATAGATAGATAATAGATAATAGACAGATATAGATAAAAAAGATGATAGAGATAGATAGATAATAGACAGAAAGATATAGATAAAAAAGATGATAGAGATAGATAGATACATGATAGAAAGAGAAAGGGGATCAGATAGATGACAGATAGATAGATAATAGATAATAGAAAGATATAGATAAAAAAGATGATAGAGATAGATAGATACATGATAGAAAGAAAGAGAAAGGGAATCAGATAGATGACAGATAGATAGATAGATATAGACGATAGATATATGATAGAATTACTTTATATAGATATATGAATTGTTCAGTGCAGTGTGCAATGTAACAGTCTGTAATGCAGGCAGGTGCAGGATGATGACCAGAGGAGGGTGACAGCTAACATGCGGGAATGAAGAAAGGCATCCAGGAAGAGATGGTGAGAAAATTGTGTCCTGAAAAGAAAGAGGCAGGGTTACAAAAGAAGCGGCTTCCCCGGGAGGCTCCCCAGCAGGTGCGGAGGAGGAGAGACTAAAGTGCACGGTGTGTGGGGGGAACAGCGAGTCATTCTGAATACAGACAACGGGGGTGGTGATGATGGCAGAGATGCACAGGGCAGATGGGTGGGCACAAGATCTCAGGCTGGAGGAGGAGGACAAGAGGCACCCACTATGAATATTCTGTCCAACCGGACACTGACTTTCACATTATTTGACCTTTTGGCTCACGTGTTAAATTCTGTCATTTCCAGGCCCCAGGGAAAATAAACTAATCAAGACTACTTTAATTTTTTAAATATGAAACCTGCGGAAAATCATGAAAAATAGTAACACAATTCCACCATTTTCTACGAAAAAATACTGAAAGGGTTATTAACTTGAATGTCCAATAGACAGCTGAATTAGATATGAAGTTGCATAAAGAGAGTAGCCAAATCAAAATATATAAGTTTTAAAAGGCAATATCCAGGACTTCAAACATGGAAAGAGTTACACGAGAGAAAAGAGGATTTTGAGAGATTGCTGCTTCATTTGCATGCTCAGCAAAACCTCACGGAGCACTGACGTTTTGAGTCATCCCTCTAATCATCTAGCATCCAACGGTGAGCAGTGCAGACCAACACCCCTGCCCTCTCAAGCTTCCATCCTACTGGAAGCAGGTGCATCAGCAGCATACATATAATAAACGGGTAAATAGCACAGTAGGTTGGAAAGTGATAAGCACCATAGAAAAAAATAGAGCAGACTCAGGGGTACAGGACTGGAGGCAGGACAGGAGAAAGTTAAATATGGTGGCCAGAATAGAACTTGCTAAAAGGGTGACTTTTGAACAAATAGGAAAGGGATTAGCCACGCAGGCAACTGAGGGAAATGTCTTTCCGGCACAGGGAAGAGCCAGCGCCAAGGCCCTGAGACGAGGTTCTGTAGGGTCTGCACAGATTGGCAGGGCTGCCGGAGCCACGGAGCTGGGCAGGAGCGGGAGGTGAGGTGGCAGGAGCTTGAGGGCAGACGGCTTCCACCTGTGGTCCTGGGAACTGGGAGAGAAGGAGACCGGGTGCCCCATCCATGCAGAGACAGTGAACTAGGCTTGGAGTCCTCACCACTCCAGATGCTGAAGGTCACCCCTGCAGTTGCACTCGGGAAGCAGAGCCCGAGTACATTTGTAGACGGGTCATCTCACACTCCTGGAGTTCATTGAACAAGGGGCGAGTATTTATAGGAGACAGGGAGCTGGGTGGAGTCCTTTGGGGTCTGGTCCACTGGATTGAGACAAAGGGCTGAAGAGGTCTCAGAAAGTGTACACTCAAGAGGACAAAAGAGGATTTTGCAGCCTCCAAGAGTCGTTGTAAGCCTTACACACCTTCAGGCCTTCCTCCTTCTCTCCCCTCTATTTCAGCTCCTGAGTGTGGAAGGAGGTGAACAGGGAAAAGCAGAGAGGACAAAAGTCACATCCCCTCCCCACAGACCCATACTGGGGAAGGGTGGAAGATTTAGCTGCGAGTCAAGTTCAGAATTTTGATTAACATCTTGGCATGCACATTCGAATTTCAGAATCAAGACTGTTGGCCATAAAAAATGACTATAGCCTTGTGTATTACCTGAACTGAGCAGTAAAAAAAAAGTCATGGTCCTTCTGGGGCTTTTATTCTGAGACAGGAACCCTGAACAGGCAGGAGAAAGGGAATGTTGACAGAGAAACAAAGACAGTTGGCGACACACGCTGACCGCCATGCGGACGTCCATCAAACCCAGCACTGGCCCTGGGTACGTGCGCCTTTGCTATTACCCCAATACATTTTCTTCTGCAGAGCAAGCAACAGAACACATGCAGACCTTAATAAATACCACTGGGTAATGTGACAATGGCCAAACTCTCCTCACGGGGGAGAGAGTGTCCCCCAGTTTTGCTCCCTTTTAATTTCCAGGGTTCATAAGTAGCTCTAAAGCTTTGCTCTACAAGGTTGATACATACGATATTAATGTTTCCCCTAAGCAGTATAACATAAATATATTTGCTATCTTGACATTCTGGGTTTGGTTTTTCAGTGTTGGCGTAAGTGGGTTTTATACTTTCTGGAACAAGAGTTCATCACCAAAGGGAAAATGCTGTCCACCCCACCCTCTTTGAAAGAAAAGGCTCAGCCCATAGTTCTCCAGATGAAAGAAATGTACCTAATCAGCTATTTCCTGTTGCTTGATTGGATGTTAACAATGGAGATAGACACACAGCTAATTGTGGTGGCACAGCAGGAAGCCTAATTCACTTTGCTGTAGAAATGCCCACACAGAGAAAGTGGGAGATGGCTGCACAAGAGGCCCCATAGGCAGGCAAATGCTTACTGCAGTTTCTTTCCCAAACATTTCCAAATAGACCAAATAAACATGAATTTGCTCACTGTAGTTTATATTCCAAATAAAAATGAATTTCTGGCCAGGCGCGGTGGCTCATGCCTGTAATCCAGCACTTTCGGAGGCCAAGGCAGGTGGATCACAAAGTCAGGAGTTTGAGACCAGCCTGGCCAATATGGTGAAACCCCATCTCTACTTAAAATACAAAAATTAGCCTGGCGTGGTGGCAGGTGCCTGTAATCCCAGCTACTCAAGAGGCTGAGGCTGGAAAATCACTTGAACCTGGGAAGCAGAGGTTGCAGTGAGCTGAGAGGGTGCCATTGCACTCTAGCCTGGGTGACAGAGCAAGACTTGGTCTCAAAAAAAAAAAAAAGAATTTCGCCACGCTCCGCAGACACAGGCATTCCACACCCTTGTCCAGACTGGTCCCAGGGGAAAGAATCTCCAGGCTAAAGAGCCGTGGTCTTCCAGGGCCTCTGGCCAGGTATCTCAATGTCTTCACCCATGTGAATTCTGGACAAGGGCTTCCTACCACATCCCCAAGTTTGCCCTTCCCCCCATACCCTGACCTCCATTTCTCTACTTTACCTCTCCCAGCCCACCATGGGACCATGTGATCAGCCACATAGGCATAAACTAGCACACAGCTACCTTAGGGTAGGGCCCTCTAGGGTGGCCAGGTGGCTACCTCACAAATCAGTCTATGGCTCTCACAGAAACTAGAATTTGCTTGGGCAAGAGGTATCAAGAGCATTAGAAATATTTATACTTTTTCATTCAGTAATGGTATAATCTGAATCTGGGCTGAGAGTCTAAGAATATTGAGCTGTGTGAGAATGCACACAGCTGTTTATTACATTTTTTTAAGTAATGGAAAAATTGGCTAGAATTTAAATATACACCAGTAGGGTAGATGTTTAATAAACTATGATTTATCCAACTTACAGACTACTGGACAGCCATAAAATGATAGTTAGACTAATTTTTGCCATGCTTTATCTTTTAATATTCTTACGTAATTCCATCTCATTATTTCATCTGGCTTTTATTAAACAGTAAATATAATACTAACTGTAATTACAATACTAACTGTAATTACCAGTGGTTACTTTAACTACCTTTCTGTGTTTTCCTAATTTTTATGATCACCATGAATTTCTGTACTGGGGAAATAAGCAAACTCTTTATAAGGTGTTGGGACACGTAAAGGACATTTTCACAGCACTCTGCAATGTCCTGGCTCCTTGACTGAAAAAAGAATGAGTTTGCTCAGGCCTCAGCCTCCTGGAGTCCCAGACTGGAGCCATTGTGGTTAATATCTGTAAGTTTGGTTTTTGTTTTTCTCAGGTGCTCCACTGAAGCTCATCCACACACACACACAATACACACTGATGCTTATAACACACCTGGCCCTGTGTTAATAAGTAGCCTGGTATAAACTTGGGAAGCAGAAAGAAGGAAAAAGACTGCAGCAGCAGGCACAATGTGGCTGAAACCCCTTCCAGGAGAAGAGAGCGAGCGAGAGGGAGGATTGAGGACAGATGCAGAGGGCAGAAAGAACTCTTTACGTCTGGCCAAGTATGGGGCAGCTACACTGAGTCCTTTCTGCCAGATGAAGGCAGGGAATAGTCCCAGTCAAAGCATTGCTGTGAAGTTTCCCTGGTGACTTCAGAGTTTCTGTGTCTACCACCCCCAGCCTGGTTAACACAGCGCTCTGTAATAAAGTCTAAAATTCTAAATGATAGCAAAGAGCAGCTTGCATTATCTTTTCTCCCTGGAGGATAAATAGGACCCCTTGCATCTAGTTGTTTGTAGGTAAG